>NC_000004.12:118315320-118466835 GCF_000001405.40 Homo sapiens | reverse complement strand
GCCAACTGAGACAAAAAAGGTACCTATACAGCTGGACATAGCAAACTGTTTAAATGACAGCCCTGGCTCAAACAGCTTTTCCAGGATGTGAGTGTGTGTGTGTGTGTGTGTGTGTGTGTGTGAGAGAGAGAGAGAGAGAGAGAGAGAGACAGAGAGAGAGAGAGAGATTGAGATTCTCACTGGCATTTGCAGATACATTTCCAACTCAGTACTAAGGGTAACGAATAGGCCTGGCCTGTTGGCCCAAGACTAATAGTAAGGACATGGCATTTAGCCGAGCTTAATTCCCCTGCTTGGTTTCTGGCTATTCAAAGATAGCTCCAGTGTCCAGACTGCAGCAGTCTTTGCTCCTCTGTTAAATACAGTTGTGCCAATTGCCAAGAACACTAAGATATTCTTGATTCTTAAAGACACCAAGCAAGTGTGAAGGGGATGATGAAATACAAATTAGCTTCATCTAGGATATTGCTCTTTAGGCCGGCCTTCCTATTAGTTAGTTGGGAGAATGCAGATTGCCTTGTGGTTTGAGACCTGTTATTCAGTCCAGCTGGTGCCCAAATCAGGAGATTCTTTGGGACTAAACAAATGAGACTTGCTCACTCTTATCTTGACCTCATGTTTATTCCTCAGCTCTTCCCTTGTCATGCAAAGTGGATCCTATTTTTCTAGGACTATATTCCAAACTGCATCTGCTTTAGAACCAAATAAGTCTCTCGCATTCCCCCTCCACTCCTTGCAATAGTTTTCCTTGCCTCTCTAATGTGCATATCCCCTTCAACTACATGACTGGACCAGGAAAAATCTACTTAGCCTGAAGCCAATGACTCCAGATGATCATAAATAGACTCCAGATGATCATAAATAAACACCAGAAATGCTAAAGTCGTCCCTGCATTGGCCAAGAGCTCTTTATTTCTGCATGCTCAATGGAGCAGAGAAAAATGGATTAGAGCCTGGAAGAATGTGAGTGTAACTATTGTTCATTGATGATCAGCTACTGCTGTGTTTTCAGTAAAAGGGTGGGTCTCCTCTCTCTGACCCTAATTTGATTCAAATATTTTTACCCTCTAGATCAACAATTTGAGTGAATGTCAGCTCCCATATCTGGGGAGAGAATTGGGGCCTGAGATAGATTAGTATATTCAGCTCTCAACTTACCCCAGCAAGTTCTGACAATACTGTACAATCAGACATAAACCATTTTAAATTCCCACTTATTCTCTGCAGAACCTGACTCTCAAAGGTAAATTACAGGAATAAAAAGCCATCCGCTGGAGGTAGGAAGTGGGAGATTAATAACAAATAGAGAGCATAAAGACTAGTTAAATTTATTTATTTTTAATCTAAGTGTTCCTTTTATTATCAGATTTGGAGCTCAGGAGAATAAGGAGGTCAAAGAGGTAGAGAGAATACACGTGGCTGAGATTATATAATGCCATTCTAACAAAGTAATAAAAGTGTCATAAACTCCCTGACATTTAATATCCTAAAGGACAGCTAGCAATCTCAAGGACTAAATAGCTTAGGAAATTTCCTTTAGAGATAAAGAGTGTGTCCTCAATCAAAGGGCTGTGGACTCGGTCACTCATTCACGTTTTATGATGACATAGGATGATTTGCTTACAAATTGAGAAAACAAACCATATCCGCAAGTGCCAGCTTCAAAGCAAAACTGGGAAAACAAATCTACCTATACTGGCCATTTTAAATGAAATAAAAACTTTCTGATTAAGGTTTGTGGATTTCTTTCCTTGTTTTCATCACAAAGAAAAGAGAAATGGAAAGGAGAGAAGAAAGGCAAAGCCCACTGCTCTTTGAAATACAGATCACGACGCCCACAGAACCATATTTTTCTTGGATATGTACATTTTTATACAACTAAGCATTCCTGGATTTGGGCTCTTTTAGGAAATGTATCCAACAACCTGATCACTAGCCAGAAACCATAGAGTGAATGTTGAAGAAGCTGACCCACATATTTCCAAGGTACCTTTAAAATACATCTTTTTTAAAGATGATCAGTTCTTTTGGTGATTCACGTAGCTGGGCAATGGTCCAACTTCACTGTCTAATGTCTTTTTCCATGAACAGTTTCTCAGCAGTGGTCAGGTGAGTAGCATTGACCACTCAATGCTCCACTTTAGTTTAGGACATTGAAAGCCACAAGAGAATGTTACTACCGCCTCTACAACCAGAACAAGTGAAAAGGTCTTCAAGAGAATAACATTTTTCAGGTCCTCAGAGAGCTGAGATTATAAAGTAACATATTGAATTAAATTCATGCTACTCCAAAGAGAGAGGAACATACAACCTTTTCATTCCCAACTTGTAGGCCAAAAGCGGACATAATCTCCAAAGGGGGAAGAACCTGACAGGCTTCATCAGCATTTCAAAACTTCCTATCAAGCTAAACCAATTTAAAAATGCCTATTAGATGGCCAGGAACAATAGTTTATGCCTGTAATACCAGTACTTTGGAAGGCTGAGGTAGGAGAATCACTGGAGGCCAGGAGTTCAAGAACAGCCTGGGCAAGATAGCAGACCTGTCTCTACAAAAAAAAAAAAAAAAAATTAGCCAGGTGTGGTGATGTATGCCTATAGTCCTAGCTACTCAGAAGGCTGAGGCAGGAGGATCCCTTGAGTCTAGGAGTTTGAGGTTACAGTGAACTATGATTGTGCCACTGCACTCCAGCCTTGGTGACAGAGAGAGACTTTGTCTCTAAAATAAAAATCTTAAAACCCTATAAGTCACTTAACGATTATTCACAAATAATTAATAATAATGACTAGTGTTTAGCATGTTATATGCTTAACTTCATATACCTTCTAACTCTTGAATCAAATACTGCCACTGAAAATTTTTTTAATAGATAAATAACCCAAGGCTTAGCAGAAGTGAAATAATTTGCTCAGAAACTTTCACAAAGCTTTTAGCCCAGACCAGGCTACTCTTCCACTGCTGTTCGTGATCGGAATGAAAATCAGGAGGTGCTTACATTGCTAAAATTTTCTGAATATCTGAGGCAGATTTTCTTTTAAGTCCCAAGGAATCGTTGTGACATTCCCAGGGAAATGAAAAAACCTGAAGTTTTAAAACATATGCATACTTTCAATTTAACTGCCCCAAATCATCTGAATTGATTATGAAACCAGCCCAATATCCCCATAGAACTGAAGTTTATGGGTTAAAAAAAAATAAACATAGAAATAGACCCCTCTGGTCTTAAAACTTGAGAAACTTACATTTGTCTTATCTGAGTTCCTTTCTTAGGAAACCCACCATCAGGCCTCCCAGATAGTATCAAAGAACTGAAACTTATTAGATCACTGCATCTGGACAATGAGATGCCAGACCCCTCCCTAATTCCTGTTCACCTACACATAGTTCCCGTCGACCAAATCCTCTTCCTTACCCCTCTCTAATTCTGTTCTTCTACATGCAGTTAAATTCCTTCACTGCTGTATAAACCCCTAGTTTTAGTCAGTTGCAGAGATGGATTTGAAACTGATTTCCCATCTTTTTGGCTGCAGCAATCAATTAAAGTATTTTCCTTGGCAATATTCATTGTCTCCGTGATTGGCTTTCTTCATTATTATTTTAATCTATTCATTTATTTATTTTGAGGCTGGGCTATGAGACTGGCTGATTTTTGTATTTTTGGTAGAGACAGCGTTTCACCATATTGCTCAGGCTGGTCTTGAACTCCCGGGCTCAAGCGATTCACCTGTCTCAGCCACCCAAAGTGCTGGGATTAAAGGTGTGAGCCACTGTGCTTGGCCCCAGTGATTGGCTTTCTGTGCAAAGAGCAATAGGACCTAGATCGAACCCCTGACATTTTGCTAACAGTTATTTAAATTCTCAAAGGAATTGTGCAGGGAAATTAAAGATATGCAAAGACTAAATGTTGCTTGAAATAAATACTTAGATGCCTAAGCCCCTCACTGCATAATCACTCTTGACTTTTTTTTCCTTAGGTGGTATATATATGAAATTATTATAAAATATATTATAAAAATTAGAATTTAAAATGTAAATATTCACTCCATGCATGCTTTGTTCAGGAATGTTACAATGATTTAAAACTAGAATAAACTACATCATCAATAGTATTTAACACGCTACTTATAGAGGCTTAATATTTAGAATTCAACCCAATTTCTATTTCAACATGGTAGACTGAGGTGGTATCACTTGCCCTTCTCATTTAAACAAGCTGTAAGAAAGGCTGTTCAAAGGGGAAAACATACTTCCTAACATAGATAAAAGAGTATTCTGTGTCTCAGCCAGCCACAGTGGTGGCTCATGCCTGTAATCCCAGCACTTTGGGAGGCTGAGGCATGGATCACCTGAGGTCAGGAGTTCGAGAACAGCCTGACTAACGTGGTGAAACCCTGTCTCTACTAAAAATGCAGAAATTAGCCAGGCATGGTGGCATGCCCCTGTAATCCCAGCTACTCAGGAGGCTGAAGTGGCAGAATTGCTTGAACCCAGGAGACTGAGGCGGCAGTGAACTGAGATCACATCACTACACTCCAGCCTGGGCAATGGTGCAAGACCCTGTCTCAAAAAAAAAAAAAAAAGTATTCTGTGTCTCTTTGAAACTCTTTGTGGCTACATATTTCCATTAGTTTCATAACAGTTTCCCATTCTTCGCTGAGAAGCACGGGCTCAGAGTGTGACCACACCAGACCAATCTGGCTCAGCTTTCATGTCACAATGTTGTAGTTGTTTTTCAGTTGTCATAAAGCACAGATTGAAGGTCACATAAGCTGAGCATGCCCAGATGAACCAAGTGTGCAACCATAGGGGGAAACCTAAGAGCTCAGACTGAGGGGAAGGGACTGAATTAAGAAGTGGATACAACATGGTAGGATCCAGGGTCTACTTAGATCAAGCTCTGGCATCACCCCATGGCAGGATCCAGACAGATCCTACCTCCCAGCATCATCTCAAATCTCATTGCAAGATCCAATCAGATCACATCTCATCACCTTATGCTTATAAACCCAACCCAAACCCCAGCACAGGGAGACAGATTTGAGTATTTCCTCCTGTCTGCTTGCCAGGCGACTCACAATAAAGCTTTTCTTTTCTCAAAAGCTGGTCCAATGGTATTAGCCTCTCTGCACCTTGGACAGTGAGCTCATGATTACTCAGTAATGAGAGGACTTAACTAAGAGTTACTCAGAACATGAGCCATCCCTGCCGTGAACTACCTAGAAAGATGATGTTGATGGCAATGACGATGATGATGGATAATTGTGAAATAGTCACTAAGTGGCTGGGACGGTGGCTCAGCCTGTAATCCCAGCACTTTAGGAGGCCGAGGCAGGGAGATCACTTGAGGCCAGGAGTTTGAGACCAGCCTAGGAAACATGGTGGAACCCTGTCTCTACTAAAAATACAAAAATTATCTCGGCGTGGTGGTGGCACCTGTAGTCCCAGCTATTTGGGAGGCTGAGGCACGAGAATTGCTTGAACCCAAGGGGCAGAGGTTGCAGTGAGCTGAGATCGCACCACCACACTCCAGCCTGGGTGACAGAGTGAGACTCTGCCTCAAAGAAATAAATAATAAAAGTAAATAAATAAATAAATATATTCACTAAGTGTTTTATGTTAGATTATCTGGTTTAAAAGTCACAACAGCTTTCTAAGGAGGATATTATTATTGTTGTTATTCCAACTTTATAGATGAGGAAACAGCAAAAAGATCTAAAGTCCCTTGCCCAGGACCACATAGCTAGAGAGTATTAATACCTGGAGGCAAACCCAATAATCTGATTCCAAAGCCATGTCCTTTTCTCCATTGTGCCTCTGCGCCACTAGAGCTTACCATGTTATATAAAGTCTCTTGAACTCCTAGTCATAACTTGTTAAACGAGACCTTTAGTTTACTGGTTTAAGATTCTGGATTCTCACAAATTCCACCCATGGAAATAAAGTGTGTGGATGCATAAAATGCACTGGAATACCCCTCACTTCTCCACAATGTCAATGTATTAATTAGCAAGTGCTTATTGCACGGTGGCAGCCTTTAGCTGGATGCTAAGGAATGCTCCTACTTCGGGTTTTTAGCATCTGCTTAGAAATACTCATTTTACTGGGCCAGGCACGGTGGCTCACGCCTGTAATCCCAGCACTTCGGAAGGTCAAGGTGGGCAGATCACTTGAGGTCAGGAGTTTGAGACCAGCCTGGCCAACATGGTGAAGCCCTGTCTCTACTAAAAATACAAAAATTAGCCAGGCATGGTGGCGCATGCTTGTAATCCCAGCTACTCAGGAAGCTGAGGTGGGAGAACCGCTTGAATCCAGTATGTGGAGGTTGCAGTGACCCAAGACTGTATAGCTGCACTCCAGCCTGGGCAAAAGAGCAAGACTCTGTCTTAAAAAATAATAATAAAAAGAAATACTCATTTTACTATTATTCTATAAATTAGAAGTTACTTAGAGATACTTTTTGAAGCAAGTTCTTGTCATCAAAACAATACTCAGGCTCTCGACCTTAGCGCCATTTTCTTGGAAACCTCTGCGCCATGAGAGCCAAGTGGAGGAAGAAGCGAATGCGCAAGCTGTAGCGCCAAAGAAGAAAGATGAGGCAGAGGTCCAAGTAAACCGCTAGCTTGTTGCACCGTGGAGGCCACAGGAGCAGAAACATGGAACACCAGACTCTGGGGGTGCTGGTACAAGTTGTGGGACTACATGCTACTGCCTAGAGCTTGTCTCAATGGATCTAGAACTTCATCACCCTCTGATCGCCGATCACCTCTGAGACCCAACTTGCTCATAAACAAAACTGCCCATGTCGGTCCTCTGCCCTGGACCTGTGACACTCTGGACTATTTCTGTGTTTATTTGTGGCCGAGTGTAACAACCATATAATAAATCACCTCTTCCGCTGTTTTAGCTGAAAAAAAAAAAAAAATACTCAGACACTCAGATCTTCAATGTCAGAATTTTTAAAAACATGACCATGTTCTTTTACAAAAATTCATGCTCAGTTATCAACTGACGTCTGATCTCAATTCGTACAGCCAACTACCCTAAACTGCCTCACTTTGGATTATTTTTAAGCAAACCCCAGATATTAAATCATTTCATGTGTAAATAACTCAGCGTGTGTTAACAACTCAAGGAAAAAATTCCACAGAACCAGAATCTCATTATTATACTTTAAAAAAAGTATTAATTTGTTACTATCAAATATTCAGTTAGCATTCCAATTTCTCTGATTGTGTCCTAACTTTTTTTTATACTTTGAGTATCATGTTGTTCTTTGTCATAATTAAAGGTTATCATTTCCCAAAGTGTCTTCCTTGAGATGTTAAGTGATGTTATGCAATTTTTACAAAACATCTTGTGGGCCAATAAATTTAGAGGACACTGAAGTAAAACAGAGTTAAACAGATTTCTCACTGTAGGACTTTTTTTTTTTTTTTTTTTTTTTTTGAGACAGAGTCTCGCTCTGTCGCCCAGGCTGGAGTGCAGGGGCGCGATCTCGGCTCACTGCAAGCTCCGCCTCCCGGGTTCACGCCATTCTCCTGCCTCAGCCTCCTGAGTAGCTGGGACTACAGGCGTCCACCTCCGCGCCCGGCTAATTTTTTGTATTTTTAGTAGAGACGGGGTTTCACCGTGTTAGCCAGGATGGTCTTGATCTGCTGACCTCATGATCCACCCGCCTAGGCTTCCCAAAATGCTGGGATTACAGGCGTGAGCCACCGTGCCCGGCCTCTCACTATAGGACTTTCTTAAGCCTTCGATATATTAGTGTGCATTGGGACCTTCAACAGAGGCACTTGGTATGCAGCTTTTCCCAAATCAGTTTGAACATAAATTTTTTTTTCTGAAACACACCTTAGAAAATATTGCCATGGGCAAAGATTTTTGTCTCAGTTTTCTTTTCCTTGTGTGAAATTTAATGGAGTTCATTTTGTCCCCCTAGAAATCTCAGTGGAGACCAGTTTCACCTGTACACAGCCTAAATTCTGTTAATGAAGGGATTGTTTCAGAACAATGGTTACAGGGTTAGCATGTGAGTAGAGCAATGGCCACCATATTTTCTGCAAATAAAAGTTTAATATATGTTGGGTTGATACATGGTTTGAATACATGACTTAGCAAAAATGCACAGTATTTAAGTCAGCACTATTCTTAGAATTTAGCACGTGTGATCAGGCTTTTGGATAAAATGAAGCTGTTCTTTACCAGGGAAAACAGCCCATTCTTGCTATGCGACAACTTGCGTAGTGACTATGCTTTCCAAAAACTGATAGAACATATTGTATGAAATAGGATTTCTGTATCACAAGGGGCTAGAAGTAAGCGATCTGAGAAATATAGATTTAATTCCAAAAGTAAGAAATGTCTAGGACATTTTATCGGTTTATAGACATAACAAGGCAAAACATTTGCAATTAGGTGTCTCTAAGAGGTTTGAGATGTGCTATCTTTGAATGAGAAATGGCCGCATAGACTTATCTAGTTCAAGCACTGGATTTTCAGTTTCTCTTGAGGTACATGTTCTATGTCTAGTGCTCACTCCATAATCCTAAAACCAATACTATAGAGAAAAAGTGGCTCAATTTATGTTTCAAAATGAAAGCAGCTATACTGGCAGAGGACAATGATTTCCCATCTCCTATGAGGGACAGGGAGAAAATGGAAGGCTGAAATAATATTATATTAGGATTACACTGAGTTGGCCCAGGTGACCCTAACTTTTCTGTAATATCCCCAGGATCATACCCTCCGCCAGGGCTAGTCTTTGAAATGCCCCTATCTTTTAATCTACAACAGTCACCATCCCCTATGTAATAAGAATGATGCATATCTGCCCAGGACCTTTCCAAAGCCTGTATCTTTTAGGACAGTCATGAGTGCAGTAGCCCAGGGGTTATGTGTTGTTTCAGGATTTTACTTAGCTAACTTGCTTTCGCTTGGGCAGAAACAGCAATCAAATTAAAATGAGTGATGCTAATTGGGAGGCTGGTTGATTTCTATTTTCTTTTGCATCAACTGCTCTGAGAGCAAAGTTAGAAAAGTTTGTTTTCGCTGGCAGGCATCGGGAACATGACTGCAATTACCACCCTCTCATTTTCCAAGCTAAGGCTATAAACAGTGAAGAATGACAATGTCTTCTTCAACTGCAGCCACATTTTTTGAATTGCTGGTCTGTGCGAAATTTCTCTATTGCCTCTAGTTAAGGACCAGGCACCTATATTGAGGCATTAGCACCAGGCTTGGCTACGGAGGTACAGAGTCAGGCCCTAGACCTTCAGGGGTTTGTAGTCTAACTGGGGAGAGATGGCTAAATTATCAATCATGGAGCGTGTGGTCTCCTTTCTTTCCAACTTTTTATTATGAAAAATGTCAACAGTCAGAAAAGCTAAAGGAATATACTGAGCACCCACATACTCACCCCTTCGATTAAAAAACTAACAGCTGCGATTACTTGCTTTATCGCTGTGTGTGTGTGATATTTTTGAACAACTTGAAAGTAAGTTGCAGAGATCATGACACTTAAAACCCCTAAATAATTTGGCCACATCTCTTAAAAATCAGAACATTCTCCTATCTAACCAGAGTACTACTATTATATCTAAGAAAATTTTAACTCCCTAATACCATTAATATCCCATAAATATTCAAATATTCTAACTTGTCCCCAAAACATCTTTTGGTGCTGTTTTGTTCTAACCAGAATGCAATTAAGGTTTACACATTGGATTTGGTTGTCATGTTTCTTTAGTATCTTTTTTTTCTCTTTTTTCGAGACAAGAGTCTCGCTCTGTTGCCCAGGTTGGAGTGCAGAGGCACAATCTCGGCTCACTGCAAACTTTGCCTCCCGAGTTCAAGCGATTCTCCTGCCTCAGCCTCCAGAGTAGCTGGGATTACAGGCGCCCACCACCACTCCTGGCTAATTTTTGCATTTTTAGTAGAGACAGAGTTCTGTCATGGTAGCCAGGCTGGTCTCGAACTCCTGACCTCAGGTGATCCACCTGCCTCAGCCCCTCAAACTGCTGGGATTACAGGCGTGAGCCATTGCATCCGGCCTCTTCAGTATCTTTTAATCTAAAACAGTCACCACCACTCCTCTTCCATCAGGACACCGGCACCCTGACTTTTTGAAGCGCTCAGGCCAGTCATAGAATGTCCTACTTTATAGATTTGCTTCATTGCCCCCTCATGGTGTCCGTTAATGTTTTTCTCTGTCAATGTTTCCTATAAACCAAAACCAGAAATTATGTCAAAAGTCTTGATTAACTTGATTAAACATGCTTGACAAGAAAACTTAAGTACAAATATGACACAGTGCAGCAGTTTTAGAAAACAATCTGGAAGCTCTTCAAAATACGAAGCTTGGAGTTCCCGCCTGATCCGGCAGTTCTGCTCTGAGGTGTACACCCAAAAAAAATGAAAACATGTCCAAACAAAAACTTGTAACAAGTGTTCATAGCAACGTTATTGATAATCGCCGAAAACTGGAAAACAACTCAACTGTCCATTAAATAATAGATTTTTTTAATGTGGCAAATTCACTGGTGTGGTGACTCACACCTGTAATCCCAGCACTTTGGGAGGCCAAGGTGGGTGGATCACTTGAGGTCAGGAATTTGAGACCAGCCTGGCCAACATGCTGAAACCCTGTCTCTACTAAAAATACAAAAATTAGCTGGGCATGGTGGCACACACCTGTAATCCCAGCTACTCAGGAGGCTGAGGCATGAGAATCGTTTAACCCAAGAGGCAAAGGTTGCAGTGAACCAAGATCACACCACTGCACTCCAGCTTAGGTGACAGAGTTAAGACTCTGTCTCAAAAAACAAAACAAAACAAAAAAAGATAAAATGTGGCATATTCATACAATGGAATATTATACAAGGAATAAAGTGCTGATATCTTGAGGAACCTTGAAAACATCCTGGGTGAAAGAAGCCAGTGACAAAAGACCACATATTAATAATATATGATTCCACTTATATAAAATGTTCATAATAAGAAAATACACAGAAAAGAAAGTAGATTTGTGGTTGCCTAGGCCTGGGGGTGGTAGGAGGGGGATAGAGAAATGACTGCTCATGGCTATGGGGCTTCTTTTGGGGGTGATGAAAATGTTCTAAAATTAGATTCTGGTGGTGGTACAACTCTGTGAATATAAAAAGCCTTTGAACTGTATCTTTAAATGGGTGGATTGTGTGATGTATGAATTATACCTAAATAAATCTGTCAGAAGAAAAAGAAAATGTTCATAGATGCTGCAGTGCATTTTGTATTGTGTCACATCAAGAGGCTCCCAAGTTCACACCATCCCCTGTTTAATGATGCTCAACCTCTTAGTTGAGATGGTGACCTCAGGTCTCTCCAAATGAAAGGATTGCTTTCCATTTGTACAGAGCAAGCAATCTGTGGGGTGACAGATTGAAACACACAAGCAGCCTGCTCCCAGCATCTTCCCACCTCATGTTTTAGCAGACACTGCTAAGTCTGGTAAGACACTGCTAAGACTGACAAGTCTTACTGGAATAAATCATTTCACTGGGATTACAGAACGGCCAACAGTTCGTCTTACAGATTCAAAAGCTCAGATGGTTTGACAGACTTTCCAGAGTCACTAGACAGGATAGTAGCAGAACAGGGACTAGAGCCCAGGGCTCCCTTTTCTAGCCCACTCCTGGTGCCATTGCCTTAGACTGTAATTCACCTGTGTATAAAGAGAGCCTCTGCTGCACTGAGGGGCAGGAAAGTGCTGAATAAGGAGTATTTCAAGGATCTGGCCGCAAAATTATTGCCTCACAGCCTGGAGGAAATCCAGAAAGACTTCCTGGATGAGGTTGGGCTGTTGCTGTAGGCCTTGAAGGTTAATTAGGAAAACACAGGAGGAATCCATCTGTAGCAGAAGCAAAGAATCCTGGCAGGAACAGCCTCAGCATAGGGGAGAAACACTGTCAGTGAGCAGGGGAGTTAGAATTATTTATAACCTAGCACTAAAGGGCATGAGCCCTTGAGCCAAATTGTCAGGATTTGAGCACCAGCTCTGCCACTTTCTACCATAACCTCTCAGTGCCTTGATTCCTTGCTTATGAAAAGGGGATCATAGTAATACCAACCTCATGGGGTTTTTATGATAATTAAATGAGTTTGAGAACAGTTCCTAGCAACAGTAAGTTATCAAAAGTATTGGTTACCTTTACATTGCACAAAATGTTTGGATGGCAATTTGCAAAGAATAGGAGTGCTATAGAAGTTAATGACAGCCAGCTGCCTTTCCCTCTGGAAACATGGCATTGCCCCTGCTCAGTAAGCACCCCTTGGGCACTGCTACTGCAAGAGGCAAAGTGGGTTTTAGGGAAATAAGTCAGGATTGAAACCAGGATATTTGGGTTGCAATCTCACATCTGCCACCTACCACTGAGTGATGTAGAGTGAGTCCCCTGTCTTCTCTGAGCCTGTCTCTACAGTGTGAAATGGAGAGGTTGGACTAGCACATGTTCAATGATCTTTCTGCCTCTGACCTCTGACGTGTGATTCTAAGAGTCTTCAGTGGGTATTTCAGCTCCTGCATCCTGCTCAGGGCTGCTAGGTTATGTAGAGTTGGCTCCTAGAAGTCTAAGGCATTACTTCTCTGACGTCAGAGTTGGTACATCTCAGAGCATCCAAGGTTACCCAAGGTTACTTCCATTTATCCATTTATCCATTTGTCAAAAGGAGTAGATTCTTCCCTCTGTTGCACAGAAGATTGGTTCTAGAATCCCCACATATTCCACATTGACCATACTCAAGTCCTATACTCAGCCCTGTGTACAGAAAAAGTTGGCCCTCTGTGTACATGGGTTTCTTGTCCAGGAATACTGTATTTTCGATCCAAGTTTGGTTGAAAAAAAATCCACTTATAAGTGGACCCATGAAGTTCAAACCCGTGTTGTTCAAGAGTCAACTGTAGTTTTAAAAGACTCACCTGAATTAATCAATCCTACAGTGAGTATGTAATTTTTTTTTTTTTTTTGACAGGGAGTCTCACTCTGTTGCCCAGGCTGGAGTGCAATGGTGCGATCTCAGCTCACTGCAAGCTCTGCCTCCTGGGTTCACGCCATTCTCCTGCCTCAGCCTCCAGAGTAGCTGGGACTATAGGCGCCCGCCACCACGCCCGGCTAATTTTTTGTATTTTTAGTAGAGACGGGGTTTCACCGTGTTAGCCGGGATGGTCTCCTCCTGACCTCGTGATCCGCCCGCCTCAGCCTCCCAAAGTGCTGGGGTTACAGGCGTGAGCCACCGCGCCTGGCCGTGAGAATGTAATTTTTTATAGTTACTCTTATTGTAAGTCGTAAGTAGCTCATTGTGTCAATGTCATAAAAGTTATGTTTCTTTCATTGTTTTCTACTTTTTAGTCTATCTATCTGCAACTTATAAATAAGCATGTTGGCTAGAAAACAGAATTCGTGGGGAAAAATGTAAATCTTTGTTTGCACAAAGGTTTCTTTGACGCTCATAAGTACACAGCATGAAGCACATCTAAATGTGTATGTTATATTTATGATTGAGAAATATCAGGTGAAAAACATAATTCTGGCATGTCCTCAACTCCACATTCCATATATAATATTTTCCTTCTTTGCATTTTGAGACATAGCAGGCAATCAGCAAAGATAACTGATTGATATTATACCCTATAGTGGAGAAAGAGGGCTGAAAACATCTCCAAGCTGACCCGTCCGCCCCTCCCCTCCCCTCCCCTCCCTTCCCCTCAAGACAGGATCTTGTTCTGCCACCCTGGATGAAGTACAGTGGCACAATCATAGCTCACTGCAGCTATGATCTCCCAGGCTCAAGTGATCCTCCCACCCCAGCCTCCCAAGTAGCTGGGACTACAGGTACATGTCACCATGTCTGGCTTTTATTTTTTTGTAGAGATGGGGTCTCCCTATGTTCTCCAGGCTGGTTTCGAACTCCTGGGCTTAAGCGATCTTCCTGCCTTCACCTCCCAAAGTGCTGAGATTACATGCATGAGCCACTGCACCTAACCTCATTGTTTTCTTTATTCCTGGGTTTCCAGTGCCTAGAACAGTGCCTGGTACAAAAGAGTTACTAGAACAATATTGGACGCTGTCGTGGCTTTAAAACACATCCACAGGTCGGGTGCAGTCACTCAGACTGAGAGATTCAAGAGAGAGTGGGGAAGAAACTGTGGTGCATTTTGTGATCTAGTCCCTGAAATTGTATGCCTTCACTTCTGCTTTATGCTAAATCACTAAATCCAGCCTACACTTAAAGGGAGAGTAATTACGTTCTACTTCTTGAAAGGAAAAATGTCAAGGAATTTGTGTGTGTGTGTGTTTCTTTCTTTCTTTTTTTTTTTTTTTTTTGAGACAGAGTCTCACTCTGTTGCCCAGGCTGGAGGGCAGTGGTGCAATCTTGGCTCATTACAGCCTCTGCCTCCTGGGTTCAAGTAATTACCCTGCCTCAGCCTCCCAAGTAGCTGGGGTTACAGGTGCCCACCACCATGTCTGGATAATTATTGTATTTTTAGTAGAGATGGGATTTCACGATATATATAGGCCGAGCATGGTGGCTCATGCCTGTAATCTCAGCACTTCGGGAGGCCGAGGCAGGTGGATCACGAGGTCAGGAGATCGAGACTATCCTGGCCAACATGGTGAAATCCCATCTCTACTAAAAATACAAAAATTAGCTGGATGTGGTGGCGCATGCCCGTAACTCCAGCTACTTGGGAGGCTAAGGCAGGAGAATCACTCAAACCAGGGAAATGGAGGTTGCAGTGAGCTGAGATAGCGCCACTTGCCACTGCACTCTAGCCTGGTAACAGAGCAAGACTCTGTCTCAAAAAAAAAAAAAAAAAAAATATATATATATATATATATATATACACACACACACACACACAAATTCCTTGACACTTTTCCTTTCAAGAAATAGAACTTAATTACTCTCCCTTTAAGTGTAGGCTGGATTTAGTGATTCACTTCTAATGAAAAAAACAAAGCAGAAGTGTCTGGGCATGGTGGCCCACACCAGTAATCCCAGTTTGGGGAGGCCAAGGCAGGAGGATGGCTTAAGGCCAGAAATTCTAAACCAGCCTAGGCAATGTAGCAAGACCTCATCTCTACAAAAACAAAAATGTAAAAAGTATTAAAAATTAGCATGAAGCAGAAGTGAAGGCATATAATTTCAGGGACTAGATCACAAAATGCATCACAGTTTCTTCCTCACTCTCTCTTGAATCTCTCAGTCTGAGTGGAAGTAGCTGATGTATTGTGAGCAGCCCTATGGCAAGGCCCACATAATGAGGAACTGAGGCCTCCAGCAACAGCCATGTACATGAACCCTTCTGGAGCAAATCCTCCAGCCACAGGCAAGCCTTGAGACGATGGCATTCCCAGCCAACATCTTGACTGCAGCCTAATGGAAGACCCTGAGCCAGAACCACCCAGCTAAGCCATTCTCACATTCCTGACCTTTAGAAACTTTACAAGAAGACGAATGATTGATGTTGTAAGCCGCTAAGTTTTGAAGTGATTTGTTATGCTGCAATAGTAACTAATACAGATGCATAAATGAATAGAAAATCTGTTGCACATTTATGTACCCGAAGAGTGTCAATATCCAAACATCTTTTTTTCTTTTAAGTTCTCCAATTTATTCCTTTTTTGGTTGTGTCAGTAAACATACAACTCCATGGGTAGTTTTGTGGTAGAGCTGTCAAAATAACAATAAAAATATAATGAAATATGATATGATCTGATTAAGATCAAGTAAGATGTGTGAGAAGTCTAGCAAACTGGAGGGAAAACGCTGAAAAGTCACACTGGCATGAGACAAAATTCTGTCTTGTCTTCTCCACACTCATGCATAAGCTGGGAGTCCTCTTTTCCTCCTCTTTATAGGGAATAAAGTTGCTTCCCCTGCTCCTTCCCTTTTGCTTAGAAAAAAAAAAAGCAAGCTGTAGATTTTTAGCAGCAGCAACCTGCTCTAAAGTAAGCCACGTTATCTAGGAGAAACAGGAACATTTCAATCAGGGCTAAGATGATTTCTTTAAGGATAAAGAGCCCAATATATCTCAAATGGAATTTTCCAGGAAAAGAACATATTGTGAGTCTAGCTCCCAAGTTAGTCCGCTGGCTAATACACTGAGAAGCCAGGGTTACTGGTTGTATCTTTCCAAACCAGCATGGTTAGTTTGGTTGGCTTCAACATGGCATAAATAAATCCAAACTTCTGAGTTTAGTAATCACAGTATTAGAGGTGACACTGACTGCTTCAACAACAACAAAATTAACCCTAAAACGTAGAATGGCTCTCAACACAATAGAAGCTTATTTCTCATTAACATAAAGCCCAGAACACACATTCGTGATCAGTAGGAGGCGCTCATCTGAGCCAGGCACCCAGACCCTTCCATCTTGCGACAGACATATGGCTTCCCATCTGCTGTCTTTGTCCACATGGACACAGAGAAGGCACACAAAGAATTGCAAAGTAGAGAGCCTGTGGGCCAGGCCGTGAAGTCGCAGGCATCACTTCTGCTCAGATTTTCTTGTCTAAGCCTCAGTCACTTGGGCTCCTGACCACAAAGATCACTGGTAAGCACAGGAAGAAGGGGAGACAGACGCTCGAACAGTTAGCCCGTCTCTGCCACAGTAAATGGCACCACTTACTCCTGCACAGCCATAGATAACCTCCTCAGCTTTCTCCCTCCAGAGCCCATTCCATTCTTACTTGCATCCCTAACCCAAGACAGATCGAACCCCCTTCCTCTCTGCTCCAGGGAACCTTGCAGCCATCTTATCTCCATCATATTAAATATTGCTCAATTGCCATCATTTATGGGCCTGTCATTCCACTACTGTGTTAGCATCTGGAGAGCAGAGAGCATGTCTTTTCCTCTGTATATCATGGTGTCTGGCAAAGAGTAGACACTCATTTGACAGATTGAAGGATGAATAAAGTGTTACTCAAAACAAGTCCAAGTAAAATAATATGGAGAATTGTGTGTTAAGACTATTTTTGATAGAACACAAGGTTGGGCCCAAAGGCTCATGCCTGTAATCCCAGCACTTTGGGAGGCCAAGGAGAGAGGATCACTTGAGCCTGGGAGTTCAAGACTGGCCTAGGCAACATAGTGAGACCCTGTTTCTACAAAAGAAAAAAGAATTAGCCAGGCATGGTGGCAAGTACCTATGGTACCAGCTACTTGGGAGACTGAGCTGAGATCACTTGAGCCCAGGAGTTCGATGTTACAGTGAGTTATGATCA
The DNA here is from genome assembly GCF_000001405.40 of Homo sapiens. Classification (NCBI taxonomy): domain Eukaryota; kingdom Metazoa; phylum Chordata; class Mammalia; order Primates; family Hominidae; genus Homo; species Homo sapiens. Next base: position 118,449,569 of record NC_000004.12, on the reverse strand, counting down.
TGCCACTGCACTCACCCTAGGTGACAGAGCAAGAGCTTGTTTCAACACAACGTGAAAAGGAAATATAAGAAATAGCAGAGCCATGCCATATTCAAAAACAAAGGGCAGCTCTTGCGGTTCCATCGCCTATCTGTGAAGTGCCAAGACAAAAGCAAGAATTCTAGTATTTATGACAGTCTGGTCATGGGCCATGCGAACTCTCACTTCAACACTCATGTTTTTAGGGTATCTAAGATGTACTGCCAGGGACCATAACAGGGTGAAAGTTGGACCTGGGCCGGGCACGGTGGCTCAGGCCTATAATCCCAGCATTTTGGGAGGCCAAGGCGGGTAGATCACGAGGTCAGGAGATCGAGACCATCCTGGCTAACACGGTGAAACCCCATCTCTACTAAAAATACAAAAACAAAATTAGCTGGGCATGGTGGTGGGGTGGCGGGCACCTGTAGTCCCAGCTACTCGGGAGGCTGAGGCAGGAGAATGGCGTGAACCCGGGAGGTGGAGTTTGCAGTGAGCTGAGATCGTGCCACTGCACTCCAGCCTGGGCAACAGAGCGAGACTCTGTCTCAAAAAATAAAAAAAGAAAGAAAGTTGGACCTGTAGGGGAAATGACAGGAAGGCAGACTTGGTCATAACTGAAGAAAGGAAAGGACATAGAGCAGACATCAGATGCTCTGAAGTTCTAGTGTTGGCCCTGTCCTTGGCTAGTGGTACATCCTTGGATAAATCATTTAATCTTTCCATGCCTCAGATTTCTTGCCAGGGAACGAATGAAGTTGGATTAATTGGCCTTCCATATCTAGAATCCTAAGACTCCTTGAACTAGAGCTTGCCAACAAGCTTAGGAGGCCAGTAGCTCCCCATCACTGAAAGTATTTGAGCAAAGATGAGATGATCCTAATAACCATGACAGCCTCCTTTATTTTGTGCTTACTATGTTTCTGGAAGTGTGCTAAGCATTTCTTTTTTTGCATGCTTCCTCTTAAGAATACTATGGAGTAGGTACTAATATCATCTACATTTTACAGGTAAGGAAACTGTTTACAGAAGTTAAGTCACTTCCTGAAAGTCATTCTGCTGCCCAATGGTGGTGCCAGGATTTGAGCCCTGACTAGTGTCTTGCTCTGTGTGTCTGTGTGTTGCATTTCTGTGCTTGGAAAAGTCTGACTGGATGGCTTCATAAGGACACTTCCCTTTTTTTTTCTTTTTTTTTAAGGTGGAGTCTCACTCCGTCGCCCAGGCTGGAGTGCAGTGGTGCAATCTCAGCTCACTGCAACCTCCACCTCCTGGGTTCAAGCCATCCTCCTGCCTAAGCCTCCTAGGTAGCTGGGACAACAGGCACATGCCACCATGCCCAGCTAATTTTTGTATTTTAAGTAGAGTGGGAGTTTCTCCATGTTGCCCACGCTGGTCTTGAACTCCTGACCTCAGATGATCTGCCTGCCTCGGCCTCCCAAATTGCTGGAATTACAGGCATGAGCCACCGCGCCTGGCTGGGACACTACTTACTTATGGAAACTATACATTAAGAAATTGAGTGACTGGGCCGGGTGCAGTGGCTCACGCCTATAATCCTAGCACTTTGGGAGGCCAAGGCAGGCGGCTCATGAGGTCAGGAGATCGAGACCATCCTGGCTAACACAGTGAAACTAAAAATACAAAAATTAGCCGGGCATGGTGGTGGGCACCTGTAGTCCCAGCTACTCAGGAGGCTGAGGCAGGAGAATGGTATGAACCTGGGAGGTGGAGCTTGCAGTGAGCCGAGATCACACCACTGCACTCCAGCCTGGGCGATAGAGTGAAACTCCGTCTCAAAAAAAAAAAAAAAAAAAACAAAGAAATTGAGTGACTGGCCTGGAAGGAGAAAGGGGAAACTCCTGAGCAAAAAAGCCCCTCCTATTTTTACAATCTTAGCATTTATAATTGCATGCTGGTCATCAGGTGTGGCTTGTATGGGCCTAAGAATGTTTTCTGAGCTGGGAGGATGAAAGTAAAGCAAAGTGTTCTGCCCAGCAACAGCATGTGGGACACCAAGGCTCAACTGAGCTGAGCAAATAGAAGACTTGAAATGGCTTTATTTCAGTGGGGGATTCTTTAGTAGTAGTTGTTTTTTAATTTTGTTTCGGTTTGATTTTTTGAGATGAAGTCTCATTCTGTTGCCCAGGCTGGAGTGTAGTGGTGGCACTATCACAGCTCACTGCAGCCTCGATCTCGTAGGCTCAAGGGATCCTCCTGCCTCAGCCTCTCATGTAGCTGGGACCTGACTAGCTGGCCAGCCATATCCCGCTAATATTTATTTATTTATTTAGTTAGTTAGTTAGTTAGGAAGAGACAGGTCTCCCCATGTTGGCCAGGCTGGTCTCAAACTCCTGAGCTCAAGTGATCCTCTCATCTCATCCTCACAAAGTGCTGGGATTACAGGCCGGAGCCACAGCAACTGGCCTTGTTTAGTTTCAGTGAATAAAATTGACTTTTGAGGGAGCTACAGAGGCAATATAGCAGCTTGGAATCCAGGAAGCTTCCTTGGTCTTGGGTTTCTAAGGGTCCCAGGCATATTATAAGCAACTGCTCCTGATGGAGGCACTAGGGTATGAAGAGCTAGGTTCTGGAGCTAGACCGCCTGGACTTCTGTCTTGATCATGTGCTTTTGGGAACATGACCTATCCCGTCAGTGCCTCACCCTCTTCACATGCAAAGTAGAAACAATGACAGCAGCTGCCTCGTTGGGGTTACTATGATGATGTATGTCATGACTTAAAACACATAAGGTGCCGACAGCAGTGGCTGGTACGTAATGGATACTTAACAGAGCCATTCCTTTCAGGGTCAATGGGGTGATGGCTATTTTATTTTTTTCTTTTTTTTCAATTTGAGACCAAGCACTCAAGAAAAAATATTCAGGCCAGACGTAGTGGCTCACGCCTCTAATCCCAGCACTTTGGAAGGCTGAGGTGGGTGGATCTCTGGAGGTCAGAAGTTCAAAACCAGCCTGGCCAACATGGAGAAACCCCATCTCTACTAAAAATACAAAAACTAGCCGGGCGTGGTGGCACATGCCTGTAATACCAGCTACTCGGGAAACTGAGGTGGGAGGATCACTTGAACTCAGGAGGCGGAGGTTGCAGTGAGCTGGGATCATGCCTCTGTACTCCTGCACTCCAGCCTGGGGGAAAGAACAAGACTCTGTCTAAAAAAAAAAAAAAAAAATCATCCTGAAGTCATAAAGCGAAAGAGTAACAAAGGTGGGCAGGCAGGAACTACTCAGCAGTGTAGAATGGGCCCTAGAAGCAAGGATTATTCCAGAGTCATCTGAACTCAGACTCACAGGCATCACCGACAGGCCAGTCCTGCCCCAGCTCAAGCCCTGATACTAGGGGGGCCAGGCTGGGTGGGGGCGGGTAGGGGGTGGCCCTTGCAAAACAGCCTCTATCCTGTGCAACAGTTTATAATTCAGCAGAGAGTGTTTTGTTTTTAAGAAATGTCCAACTGGATATATGGCATTGCTGTTAAAACTGTTTTTATTACCTTATGGGACTACAAGAAAGCCTAGGGATGTATTAATACGTATAGGGTTGACAGGCCCATAACTATAAAGTAATGGCAGGCATTATCCATACATATTCATGGAAGTGGGAGTCCAGGGGCAGACACAGAACATTCCCAGAGGGAGCTGACCCACTTTATTATTTTTATGTAGGTTCAGATATTATTTCTCAGGTACAGCATAAAATGATGCTTTATTCCATCAACTATAACCCAGGCACACAGAGTCATTCCATTTCCCAAAGGAAATCAAGCAAATAAACCTTTAGGCAGCAAACAGAAATGCATTTTCTCTCCTCTCCCTGCCTTCTTTTGAGGAACAGAATTAGCAGGTTTGCCTAGAGTGCACTCTTCTCTCTTGAACCACATCCTCAATCCCCAAAGGGAACACAGTGAGATCTTCCCCAAAGGTAGTTCAAAGTTGGGGGCCCTTTCATTTGCCAGGATCTAACCCAGCTACTCAGGAGGCTGAGGCAGGAGGATCACTTTAGGCCAGGATTTCGAGAGCAGCCTGGACAACATAGTGAGACCCTGTCTCTACAAAAAAATTTTAAAAATTAGCCGAATGTGGTGGGGCATGCCTGTAGTCCCAGCTACTCAGGAGGCTGAGGTGGGAGGATTGCTTGAGCCCAGGAGTTTGAGGTTATAGTGAGTAGTGATGGTATCCCTGCCCTCTATCCTGGACGACAGACCAAGAATCCAGCCCTAAAAAAAAAATTTAATTACAAATTTTTAAATCTTTAAAAATTAAAAATCTTACATTTTTCTTTAAGATTTATAAGAGGACTCAGTAAAGGCTGTGCTGGCAATAACATCAAACTACTGAATTCTTTGAGAACTCACTGGAGATTATTATTTTGCATGACATAACTAAACATCTTAATGGTTGACTTAATTACTTAGATGTCAGTCTGTGTGTTTTTGGTGTCGTAAGTACAAAGCTTAGAAATGTTACTTTTAGGGCCAGGAGCAGTGGCTAACGCCTGTAATCACAACACTTTGGGAGGCTCAGTCAGGCGGATCACCTGAGGTCAGGAGTTTGAAACCAGCCTGCCCAACATGGTGAAACCCCGTCTCTACTAAAAATACAAAAATTAGCCAGGTATGGTGGCAGGCACCGGTAATCCCAGCTACTTGGGAGGCTGAGGCAGGAGAATCTCTTGAACCTGGGAGGTGGAGCTTGCAGTGAGCCGAGATTGTGCCATTGCACTCCAGATTGGGCGACAAGAGCAAAACTCCGTCTCAAAAAAGAAAAAAAAAATTACTTTTAAAACCAAGTACTAGCTCATCTCTAAGTAATACAATTTAAGTAGGCAAAAGCCCCTGGAGGTAGCCTGAACTTTTTATACTCTTAGCTGAGGGGACAGAACAGAAATGATATGACATTTACAGAAACCTATGTGGCCTGGCCTCATTGGAATTTTTTCTGTTAGTTAAATAAAGACCATTTGTTTCTATTGATTAAAAACAAAATTATTCATATGATGGGTTCAAGAAAACAAATTATTTCCCTAATGGACAGTGTAGGTCAGGACTAGAAGCAAACAAGGATCTTCTATCCCTCACACATCTCAACACTCAAGCAAAAACTCAAAGAAAACAATGATACTGATGGCCACGTCATGCACGGTGCTCACACAAGGATGCCAAGAGGCTTAATATGTGTTCCTTACCTGGACCCTTTTCACTGGATCAGAAACACGGATGTCTTAGTCTGATAGGCATCCTCTGCTAATGCATTTTAAATGATTGAATCAATCATTTGATAGGCCACTTTTTATAAGATGCTACGATACCCTATGAAGCACTATTAAAATATTCATTTTTCTGCACACCAGATGCGGCCCAATTGTTCATAACCAATATTGGTTCTCTGGCAAAAGGAGCAAAGGCAGCCCTCTAAGATATTCCTCACTGATATTCCATTTTTCAGTGGCTAGGGAGACATGAGTAGGAAGCAAATCTGGGTCCCAGCACCCACTATCTTGGTGCCATCAAAGTGCCGCTGCTGGCAGGTTCCTGGGCACCATCTGAGACCAACCCCACTGTGAGGTTGAAGGAGGCTGATCAGAACAGTGGTCCTCCACCTCCTCCCTGACTTCCCAAGTCATCTTCTATTTATGTGGAATTATTCCCATAACTGGGGCCAGATGATCCCACCCTGGGAAGACTGGGGAAATTCCCAGAATGCTGACCTGAAAGTCCAATTTTCCCAATGTTTCTACTGTTCCCATGTCACAAGTCTTTGGGCAAAATCTCCCAGGCTTGAGAGATTTCAATCCAGCCTGGATCACCTCTCCACTTCCTCCATCCCAGAATGAAATTAAAAATCCCGTCTGCTGTCAATGAGGAGTCCCTTCAGGCCCTAAAGTTTAGGAAGAGGAATCCCTATCTTGTCTTCTTCACTGTCATCCCGGCACATCAGTTACTTAAAACAACCCAATTTCAAGAACTGATAGACCTTCATTTCTGGACACACCAAAAACAAGCAAATTCCAGAGGATCAGCTTCAGGGTGGCAGAATGGAAGGAGTAAAAGCCAACCACGGGGCCAGGTGCAGTGGCTCACGCCTGTAATCCCAGCACTTTGGGAGGCTGAGGCGGGCAGGTCACCTGAGGTCAGGAGTTCAAGACCAGCCTGGTCAACATGGTGAAACCCCATCTCTATTAAAAACAGAAAATATTAGCCAGGCATGGTGGCGGGCGCTGGTAGTCCCAGCTACTCGGGAGGCTGAGGCAGGAGAATCACTTGAACCCAGGAGGCGGAGATTGTGGTGAGCCAAGATTGCACCACTGCACTCCAGCCTGGGTGGCGAGTGAAACTCCATCTGAAATAACAACAACAGCAAAAAGCCAACCATGGGATCTGTGGCACAGCTCTCACTTCACCATTAGCTCAGCCAGGACTGGCAAGGGAGTGCCGACTGGAGAATCTTATCCTCTGTTCCTTAGCTGTTTAGATGTATAAAGCCTGAGGGCTTTGCACCTAATTAGGGTTTCAGAGCTTTGTTTTTCTCTCATCTAATTACATTTGCCCTGTGGGGAAGAGCCTCTGTCCAGGAGGCATTGCTCTCTGAAAATCTGTCTCAGCCCAACAACAGGTGCGAGAAGGTGAACAGCTCCTCTCCCCACCAATGCGGTGAGATGCCGAGCCAGGCCCTGGCTTCTTCTTGCTCCTCTCCTTTCATTATCTCTAACTCCAGTGTCAGCCCTCAAGCAGTCCCCTGCTTTGTCACCCCTGGCAAGGTGGGGAATGTTCTCTTAACCTGCAGCTTTCTCCTTCGGGAACAAAGCGCAGCCTCTTAGCAGCTAGCAATCAACTCCTGTGCTCAGGGCCTTCCAGCCAGACTTTCTGCAGTGCACCCTGCAGGGGGTAAATTATCCTGAGCTTGGAAAAAGTGACTGAAATCACCTCCGACAGAGGGAAATGGGTTTTCATAAAAGATGTTTCCTCATCTTCGGTTGCAACTCAATTCAACTGACCATTTCCCACCCTGGATCTCAAAAGAAATTTCTGCTTTGCTTCGGGGTATGAGCCCGGGTGATAATGAAAGGTACTTAGGAAGCCAGGCCTATTGAAGCAGCGTAGCCCTCAGAGGGGCATGGCTGACTTGGCTAAGAGTAGGACAGGGTGTGGGGTTGAGGAATCCATGGGGACTCAGGGCATCCTGTCGTAGACACAGGAGCTGACCCAGCCACAGGGTCACAGGACAGCCTGTGTCACCACAGTTTCTGTGCAGAGTCCAGAGTTCACAAATGAGATAAATGGACATTTGCTGACTGGGGTAACTCAGCATCTATTCACCCTATTTCTGGGAAAAGCCTCAATTTACATGTGGGAATGGACCACCCCCTTATTGTTATAGGAGTTATTAAGAAATTATTTTAGGCAGATAGAGAGGAAAAGAGGTCCTTGGGAAGTTTTTGTTTCTTTTAAAGCAGATCCAGAAACCTTTCTTGTCTAACAGGAGAGCGCCAGCTCTAAGAGCCACTGGCAAGCTTTGATATGCAAACGCAGGTCACTGGAAACTGAGTCCACCCAAACATGGAGATTCCAGGTTTCTTCCTTGCCCCAACAGGTGGCTGGCAACATGGCCGCCCCCACATATCCCCACGTGTGTAGAACATCATGGCGCCCTGCATTTGCATCTTAAAAGGCTAGAGTGTGAGGGCCAGCTTTTTCGCAGGCTATGTGAATGACATGCCTGGTCAAACCAATCCTCTGAGCCCTATGCAAGCCAGCACCGCCTCCTCCAGCCTCCTCATATAACTAGCTGATTACACCACACACACACACACGCCCTCCCCCCACATCCCTTCTCCCCACCGGGGTTTTCTCTCTGTTCAAATCCCCTCTCCCTCTGTCTCTGTACTGGGGAGCTGTTTTCTTCTTCCTTCCTTCTTTCTTGTATATTAAACTTTTCGCTCCTTAAAACCACTCCAGGTGTATCCGTGTCATTTTATCCAAATGTGTGCTAGACCAAGAACCCTGGTGTTCCTCCAGTCATCTGAGCCATATCATTATCTCATTCTGTTTTTGATGGCACTAACCACCAGCATACCCTGCTCCATCAGAACACTCATCCTCCTGAGCTCTGTGAATGGCTCAGGATGCACAAGTGAGAGAAAAATGTAGCCAAGTGAGGAGGCAGAGAGAAACTGCCTCCTGGTAACACAGTGTGCACCCCTGGATCAAGCCATGCCTGAAGGCAGTTTATTCTGAACTTTTACAATAAGTGCTCTTTTTGTTTAAATCATTTTGGATTGGGTTTTTGTTCACTTGTAAGCAAAAGCACACTATGATAAAAGGGGATACAAGACAAGTATCACAAATCCAGAAATGGGAAGGGCCCAACCCCAGAGCCCAGGCCAGTCAGGGAAGTGAAGAAACAGACAGCATCTGAGATGCCTATGCCCAGTATCCAGGGGCTAGGTCCATGGTCTTTGAGCCTTAAGATGCAGGAGATCCCCGTGGGGAACTTCACAACAGCGTAGATTCCCACTCATTCCCACAGCCAATTCTCATCCTTAAGTCTGGAAGGGGAACCAGAGGTTTGGTTTTTAACCAGTATCCAGGCAATTTGGAAGCAGATAACACAGAGAATACTTTGAGAAACACTTCCCTACACTCTGAGCTGGGAGTTAAAGGACAGGGTTCCAGTCTCTGCGGTGAGGCAGTGGCAAGAGCTCCGTGGGTGGGAAGAATATTAGGCCAGAGCTTAGAACAGGACTGCAGAAGCAAGCATGGAATGGAAGCACATCTGGTGATCTGTGACATACAACGAGCCTGCAGATCACAGGCAATGATTTTTGGAAACTCATCACACAGTAGTTTGAAGCAGCAGGAACGATTTGATCCAAAGTGCCACGTGAACACTTCCGAGTCTACAAATGCTTTCATAGGTCAATCTAAGCTGTTCCTCCCAACCAACCTGTCTGGCAATTAGAAATTAGGAAATTAAAACTCAGAGTGTCTAAATAGCATGCACAAAGCCACACAGCTCACTGGTTCAGTAGCCTAGACCTGGGTCCCAGTCTGTCTGACACCAAACCCCACACTTTTCAAATAATTCTCCCTTCCACTGGGGGAAGGGCTGGGTCTCAGGAAAGGTCTAAGGGACACACAGTGCGGGGATCAGTGAGACCCTGCTCAGCAGGCCCAGATGAGGGAAGGGGGTGCTCCACCTGACTGCGCAGGAAAGCAAGGCCATTTTAACTTTGCAGCATCTTCAACTCATCTGGCTCAAGAAATCCCAGCCCAGCTTGGGGATGGAGAGTGGAGGAAGACAGGGGCACCCTTGCAAGTGAAGACTAAGCTCTGATTTTTTTTTTTTTTTATCTTACCCAAATTCCCTATCTAAAGGGTCTGGGAGTGATGCCCTACAAACCATAAATTCTCATCAGATGGATTTTATTTAACCCTATATATTGTGACTTACTTTCCAGCCTGACTCTTTCATAACATTATGAGACAAGGAAGAAAATCAAAATATTTTACCCCAAAACATAGGCTTTTTTGTCCATATCTTGAAATGGCCCTGCAAAGCTGTCCTTTGTGGGGGAAAATTTGTATCTGTAAAGAATCTCTATTAACATAGCTAGATATTTTTCTTCCAGGCCCTCCCAATCCTAAAGAGATTAACTGAAAGTCTAGCACTTTGTTTTTTTTGTTTGAGACGGAGTCTCACTCTGTCACCCAGGCTGGAGTGCAGTGACATGATCTCAGCTCACTGCAACCTCTGCCTCCCGGGTTCAAGCGATTCTCCTGCTTCAGCCTCCTGAGTAGCTGGGACTACAGACGCCCGCCACCACACACAGCTAATTTTTATATTTTTAGTAGAGATGAGGTTTCACCACATTGGCCAGGATGGTCTCAAACTCCTGCCCTTGTGATCCACACCGGCCTGGGCCTCCCAAAGTGCTGGGATTACAGGCGTGAGCCACCGTGCCTGGCCAAGTCTAGCACCTTTTAGTGATCTGAATAGGAAACATTTGCCATCTATTGTCTCTGAGGACAGCCTCTATAAGACTTCAAAAGAACCTTGGTCTCCACCATCTTTTATCTTAACTTGAAAATTTCCTTTCTATGGATCCCAGGTCTTTAGACAAACTCACTGAAATTTACCTATAGCCTGGAAGTGCCCCTCTCCTCCCGTTTTGGTCCCACCTTTCTGGACCAAACCAGTGTATTTCTTAAATGTACTTGATCGATGTCTCATGCCTTTCTAAAATGCATAAAACCAAGCTGTACCCCGACCACCTTGGACACATGTTCTCAGGACCTCCTGAGGGCTATGGCAAGGGCCATGGTCACTCATATTTGGCTCAGAATACATCTCTTCAAATATTTTACTGAGTTTGACTCTTCATTTACAGGAGCAATGGAAATGATTTTCTTTGATCACAGTGTCAGCTCCTGACATTGGGTTGCGCCCATCTGTGCTGCGGACTCTTCTCTCAGAATGAGAGAGGGAGATGGCTCCCAGTGCGGTTGGAAGTCACCCCGCCCCACAACAACACAGTGCAACAGGCCCCGGCTTCATGCCCATTCAGTTCAGGACAAGTTTTTTGGAGCATCTACTCTGGGCCAGGCCCGCAGGATACTAAGATGAAATAGAGACAGTTCCTGCCTTTGAAGGGTGGTGATTTACCGGTGGGGAGAAAGGAAGAGGCCCATGAAAAGTCGTGTCTGTAGAAGGTAAGAAGGGGCACAACCGCCATGGCAGGGGAGTCACAAAGGAGAAGCACTCAGCCTGCCGAGAGGTCCCAGGACTTTCCTGGAGGATCAGTCCCCAAACTGACTGTGACAGGGAGTAATACCCAGATAACAGCAGAGGCCCAGAATAAGAAAGAGTCTGTGAGTGGGCAGAATTCCCTCCAGGGTCATGAGGGAGCTGACTTCTGATTAGGGCATTTCATCCTTCTCTGAAATGCAGCTGAGAACTGGTCAGCCTCACTCCCTTGCTGAGACCAATAGCAATCCCTGATGATCTCGCCACAGGTCCAGCAGGTGCCCCATCCACACTTTGTCCCCAGCCCCTACCTGGAAGCTCCAAACACCTACCTGAGGGGCCAACTCTGATTCCCAAGGAGGTGACACCTCCTGCCCCTTGTTGATAGAACATTGATAAGGAAATAGGACTGAGTTTTAAGCTTCTTTCCATGTCAAATATTTAAAGGCAATATAATGTTCATGTTTAAATAATATTTCATGTGTAATTAAACAATCCCTTATTGTTAATTAGATGGGTTCCAATTTTGAACTGCTATAATCTGTGTATGTGTCCTTGATTAAATCCTTAAGAGAAATCCCTAGAAACATTATCTTAGGGTCAAATGGCTTGGATATTCTGTAAACTGCTGATAATTATGGGAAATTGCCTTCCAGGAAGGTTATAACAATTTGCCTGATCCCCAGCAGCAACAGACTTTACAAAGTACTCAGTATCTAATATTTAATTTTGATAAAGATAAGCTTCTCCCTTCTTCTTCACTTAAAATTCTGTGTCCCACCTCACTTTTCAGTGTCTCTTCACACTGACAAGACGGTTAGCTAATACTTCAGAGCTTGCAGAGCATCTTTATACACTTTTAATCCTCCTAACAACCGTGAGAGATGGAGCTTACTATTATCATCCGTGTTTGCAAATGAGGCCCTGAGAAGTTGAGTGATTTCTGTAAGGTCTCAGAGCCAATAGACACTGGTAATGAAATAAAATGCAAGGCCCCTTATCTTTGGAGCCCAGTGTTCCTTCCACATAGGTGGTTCTCCACCCAGGCTGCCCAGGAGAATGTGGAATCTCCAGCAGTTCTGACTTAACTGGCCTGGTGTGGATGTCTGTGATGGGTGAACATTCCCAGACCCTTTTAAGAACCTGATAGAAGTGGTGGACCCACTTCCCAGAAAAAGGGATGCACAAGAAAATAATTGTCCTGAGTGGGTCTGACAGAATCAAGTGAACCCGTTAAATCTGGATCTAGAGGTCAGAGACTGAGAATGTCAGAGATGCAAAAGAGATTCAGTGCAAGAGAAATCCTCCTACTGGTTTTGAAGATAGATGTTGGCACCCTGTGTCAACAACCTGAGAGTGGCCTTGAGTTGCTGGGAGCACCCCAGACTGACAAACAGCAAGAAGAATATGGGGACCTCAGTCCTACAACCACAGGAACTGAATTCTACTGACAACCAGTGAGCTTGCAAAGAGGACTTGGAGCCCCAGATGAGAAGCAACCCTGGCTACCCCGATCTCAACCCTCTGAGATCCTAAACAGACAATCCAGCCATGCAACACCCAAACTTCTGACCTATAGAAACCCTGAGATAATAAATGGGCATTGCTCTAAATCACCAAGTTTGTGGTAATTTGTTACACAGCCATAGGAAGTGAATCGACCTGATATATCTGAGCACCTGCTAGGTTATCATTAAGATTACTCTTCAAAGGTAAAAATTATTTTTCAAAATGTTTCTGCCCTACCTTCCGTGAGCATCTGGTGATGGATGGACACACACACGTAAAGGTAGACTGTGTTTAGGTGGGCATGGTGGTGCATGCCTGTGGTCCCAGCTACTCAGGAGGCTGAAAGAGGAGGATCACTAGGGCCCAGGAGTTCAAGGCTGCAGTGAAGCTGTGATTGAGCCATTGCACTCAAACTTGGGCAACAGAGCAAGACACCAGCTCTAAAAAAAAAAAAAAAAAAAACTGCTGAATGCTATAAATAAGATTGGAACTTGCTCTGCTTTTACAAGACCACTGTTAGATGACCACTGACAAGAAGACTGTGAGCTGGTCTCTGTAGGAAGCAGGGGCCTGGGCAGCTCTGGGGGCAGAGGAGACAGGCCTGGGGCAGAGACACCTCAGGGCATTTTCAGAAGACAGCCAAAGCAGCCATTCCAGCTTGCCCAGGTAGATGGCAAGTCAATGGGAAATGATTCCAGGAAGGTAGGGAAAGATGGAATTCTGGAGAGCATTGGACCTCAGATTGGGAGTCTGAACATCTTTCCATATGCATCAGGAAGTCATGGAAAATTCACAGACTGGAGTGACTTTGGCAAAGGTGGGATTTAGGAAGACTGATCAAGGCACGGGATAGACCCATGGATGAATAGCCTTCTGGTCAGTTTGTCCCTGTGGTTTTCTATGCTGAGGAGGTGGGAATGTGCTGGGTGAGTCAGCTGTGGATTTGTGTCCCTGCCTCACCTCACTCCCCACTGTCGTGGATTTGTTGGCTCATCTGTAGTGCGCTCCCTGAAGAAACACTCAGTTCACTCAGCTTGTTTCTAACCCAAAGCACTCTGCAGGGCCCATCCTCTCATCTTTGCCTGGGGATGCCAGACCACGCACTGCGGATGCCTTCCGCCTTAGCACTAGTGGGCTAAATGATGACTGCCTTGCTGTCCCAACACCACCCATCAAAGGGAAGACATCACTACTGGGGTCAGTACAGCCCAAGTGACAAACTCTATTCCCTCCTTTCTCTCCATCCCATGGACCCTTGATTTGCTAAGTGGGAAGACACTTTCTCGTGGTTCAACATCACTTAATCTGCACAATTGCTTCTGCAGCCTAACTCAGCCAGAAACCCTGGATATCTGGGCAAAAGTGCATATAACTTTTAAAAGGATTACTACTGCTTTTAATGTTCCCTCTGTCTTGAGTCAGACCACCACAAAGGGCAGATCAGAGTTAATATTATATATCAAAGTCCTGCCATCAGCCTGTAGGATTTATTACTAGCATCTGTCCACTTCAGAGCTATGAGAACCAATGGAATTGGATCTAAGGTTTTGAGTTGGCTCTTGTGCATGGAAATTTGATGCAAACACTCTAATTTATTGGCCCTAAAGGGCTTTGGCAAGTCACCCACTGAACACAGAGTGAAATTTGCAGAGGTTTCCCCTCTGCTCGAACAGTGGTGTTCTCAGCACGTACAGGGAAGTTCTGCCCCCTTCCAGCCAGATGAGCTAGGGGATTTTGCCTACCCTTTCTGAACCTCAGTTTTCTCATCCATAATATGGGAATAAAAACATGATCCTGGATACATGTCTCATGCTAGGCACAGAGGCAGGGTACTTTCTGCCCTGAATGCCTTGCTATTGACGCATCACCAGTAAGGCATGCATTCATTGCACAGAAACTTAGGCATATGCCTACCAACATGCCCGATGTTGTGTGAGGCCTGACCCCTGTGAGGATGCACTTCCATCTGTGTGAATGGATTCATGAGACCAGCCCTCACTCTCAGGACTGAGGGCATTGGTGCTCTAACTTGTCTGAATATGGAATCAGCTGGAGAGATTCTGTAAATTACCAGTCCCATTCCACCCCTGAGATTCTGATTTCATCGGTCTGATTTCATTGCAGCCTGGTCGTTGGGATGTTTAAAACTCTCCCTGGGAATTCCAATGTGCAGCCAAGTTTGCAACTACACGGAGCCAGGTTAGTGGTGCGGTCAGCATGGTGATAATTGGGCTCATGAACCCATGACCTCAGCTTCATCAGGAGACCCACTGCAAGTACTGGCCCAACAGGAGGGAAAGGAGCTGAGTCAGATGATACCACTGAGGGGCATGAGCAAATGAAAAAACAGGAACCCAGCCATGAAGCTGGGCCTGAGTGTTGGAGATGCCACTATAGAGACCCTGGTCTTAGCAATCCAGACTTTTCCCTAGTAGAAGGGAGAGGCAAAGATTATCCTGGCCGGGACTGTGTAAGGCCTTTGAAGGTTGACCGTCCATCTCACCCTGCTGTTTCCCTCCTTCCCTGCAGAACAGCTGTTCACCTGAATGTTCCAGGCTTTTGGTTAACAACCCCTGGTCTTTTATACCCATTCACACTCAAAATCAGGGGGAATTCCTTGAAATGGTTAAAATGCAAAAGTGAAATTTAGAAGCCCTATGAATGAAACAACAATCCAACAAAAAATTCCCAACACTTTAAGCAAATGCTTTTCAGGCAGAGCCTTCAAATTGCTACTGTCCCACTATCTTCTGGAATCGTGTGTGTGTGTGTGTGTGTGTGTGTGTGTGTAGAGCAACAGGTGAAGCAGCAACCATAAGGTAGCCTACTTCAGGTCTGGCACCTGTTTTCACTGCTGTCATGCCCTCTTCACTGAGATCCTGACTTAAATATGTACACATGTGAATGCTGATTTCTTAGCATGAATTTTAACTCAGCTCCTGCTCGAGCATCAGTGATTCCCAATTCCCATCAGAGTGAATGGCCCCTTCCTGGTCTCTGCAGTCAGTCCTCTGAAGCTGCTCAGCTGCACCCCTGGGAGCTGAGGGGCCAACTCTGACTCCCAGGAAGGTGACCTCTGTCTCCCTTCCAGGGCCAGAGATGCAACATCACACACACACTGCCTTTGGAACGTGTGATTAAGCTTTTGGCTGCCAGTAGCCTGACAGCTTCCAGCAGCTTTGTCTGCCACTGTGTCCGCTTCTCTGTGCCAAAGTCACTGAAACAAAGGGACTGCAGATGTTGCTGTGAGGTCCTTCCGATTCTCCAGGACAGAGGAAAGCACTACATTGGGTGGGGGGTGGAGTGGGGATGATGGACTGTGGGAAACCTGCATGATGGGCGTGAAACAATAAAAATGAAGCTGATTTTCTTCATAGCACTTGCTGCCATAGAGATACATTTGTTTCTGTGTTCCTCTCACTGGAATGTAAACTCACTGAAAGCAAGGACTTGGCTTATTGCTGTATCCCAAGAGCCTGACACAGTGCCTGGCACATGGTAGACACTCAATAGATGTTTGAGATAGGGAGGGAGGGAGGGAGAGAGGGAGGGAGGCAGAAAGGGAGGGAAGGAAGGAGCAAGGAAGGAAGGAAGGGAGGGAGGGAGGGAGGGAGGGAGGGAGGGAGGGAGGGAGGGAGGGACATAGACTGTGGAGTTGGATAGACTTGGCTTTAATCCTTTCTGTAGCAATTCTAGCTGTGTAAAAATACGCGAGTGAGTCATTTATTCTCTTTGAGTCTCTTTCTTCATCATAGTACCAATTAACAGGGCTGGGGTAGAGAGTGATACATGTAAGGTTGCTAGCACTATTGGCAATCAAAACATGAGAGCTACTTATTTACATTGTGAGTATTGCTACTACTGATATTATTAGTTCTGGACATTACTAATGATGTGAGCACTGGCCTTTCATCAGAGATTACTGGATAAGGAACATTTACCGTCTTGTCTCTGCTCATTGTGCTAAAGTTCCTTCTTTATCCAACAACACTTTCTCCTGTTTTCCCAATTTAGTGAAAGCATTAATCTTTTCACTCTCATTCTTCCTGTTTTGTTTCCCATAATATGGGTCCCATCCTTCCTCATGAGATGGGTATCTCAGCAATTGAGCCCACCCCACCCACATATTTGACCCTGATCCAAGACCCTCATTTCTGGGAATGAACCCCAGATCAGCCATGATAGAGGATAGCCTGGTTTTATCTTTTTGCTTGTGAGCAGGATCCAACAATTCTCATAAAATTTTCCCCAGCCTGTTCAGTGGAATTGTCAAAGCATCATTTTCAAAAAGTGAAAACATGATTCTTATATAAGTCTATAGGGAGTGTGTATAAAGATCTGTTCACTTCACAAAAGAAAGAACCAGAAGATGGTAAAGCTGTTTGAAAAGAGAATTGGAAGGAGAAAGATTTGGATAGACCATCAGAAACAGCATGCTGACATAAGTTTGCTAATTTGGAAACCTCACTCATTAATGTCCTGTAGAGCAATAAAATCTTTTTACAGGACAAAAATCATTTGTATCTCTACCAGACAAAAATTAACATGTAACTTGGCAGAGTCTGGGCCCTAATCAATAGTAAATAGTAAGTCAAACAAAAGTACATTCCCTTAGAGAGTTAAAAAAAGCTTTGGTGGTTTGTTAGGCAACCTTCCAGTATGGCATTAGAAAGACGTGCAGTCATCCTATTTTGATTTCCAAGTTTGGGATACTTTTCTTTTTGAGATGGAATTTTGCTCTTGTTGGCCAGGCTGGAATGCAGTGGCATGATCTCACCTCACTGCAACCTCCCCGTCCCCGGTCCAAGCAATTCTCCTGCCTCAGCCTTCCCAGCAGCTGGGATTACAGGTACACACCACCACGCCTGGCTAATTTCTGTATTTTTTAGTAGACACAGGATTTCGCCATGTTGGCCAGGCTGGTCTCAAACTCCTGACCTCAAGTGATCTGCCCACCTTGGCCTCTCAAAGTGCTGCGATTACAGGCATGAGCCACCATGCCCAGCCAAGTTCAGGATACATGTTTAAAACAAAATTGGTCCCCCTCAGCCTGGTGGATGTCCCTGCAGAATTTTAAAATACTATGATGTTCTAGATGTCTGATGCTGTCAATTCTCAATGGCCAGAAGAGGGCATCTGCCCAGATCAGTTCAGGTGTCTATCCCTGGTCCAATCGCCTGTGCCCAGGGTAGCGTATCAGGTACACAGGGCTGTTTCTTCCCTGCTATTGGTAGAACAGCTTTTCCAAGAAGGGGATAGGCTGGAATGGAAGAAAAGAGTCCAAAGAGGAAGGAACCACAACAGAAAGAGAATTGCTTTCCTTTCAGTTGTGGGAGCACCAGCTTAATGCCTCTTTTCCACATTTGCCCAGCAGAGGAAATGTTTGGGCCGAATGACAGAAAACCTAGGGTAGCCTTTTTGGTGCCTCCTGACAATCACAGAAGCAGGCTGGGATCCTACCCAGGTATGGCAGAGCAAGTGAGCCCACCTAGGTGGGAATCCTTACCCTCCTAATCCTGCAGGTTCACTTCACAATCTTGTGTAGACCTTAAACGGTTGTTTAGACAGTTATATGAAATGGAGTATTTTCTGGAGAAAAGGACAGTGAATGGGGATATGGGGATTTTTTTTTTTTTTTTTTTTTTTTTTTTGAGACAGAGTCTCACTCTATCGCCTAGGCTGGAGTGCAGTGGCATGATCTCTGCTCACTGCAACCTCCGCCTCCTGGGTTCAAGTGATTCTCCTGCCTCAGCCTCCCGAGTAGCTGGGATTACAGGCGCCCACCACCACACCCAGCTAATTTTTGTATTTTTAGTAGAGACAGGGTTTCACCGTGTTGGCCAGGCTGGTCTCAAACTCCTGACCTCAGGGTATTCTGCCCGCCTTGGCCTCCCAAAGTGCTGGGATTACAAGCATGGGCCACCGCACCGGGCTGGGGATTTCTAAGTCCACTTGACTCTCTCCCCTCTGGGCCTCAATGGGCAGCATTTTATCTGTAGCCTTTTTATCTTATAATAGTTTAACTAATGGATCTATTTTGAGTAAGGGATATGTACAAATTCTTTTGTGATTCCAGGAGGAGATGAGAAGTACAAAGTACAATTATAAAATTATCATTGTCACCATTATCTCCAATCAGCACATCATTCACAGTGACAGTTCTAAGAGCTTTATATGGGAAAAGTGTAATCTATTGCAAATAGAGGGCCATCATTACTGCTCTTAGGCTCCCTTTAGGATTAGGGATGCAGGTTATCATCTAGGTCCTGCGGTCTCCTAGAGAGAGCAGGGAGCACCATCTCCATTAGTCAAAAGAAAGAAAAGTAAATGTTAAGAGATGAGACTAGGGCAATGACTCCCTGTTCTTGAGACAACGAGTCAATTCAGTGTCGAAGAAAAACTCAGTAAGTTTTGATGCCTTGCTCTTAACCTACAAACTTGGTAGAGCCACAGAAAGAACATGGAGCAAAATGAAGAAATGGTTTAGTTCCTCTAAGGATCCTTTCATACTTAGGCATTGCTTAATCCAGTTGACTGATTTTTCAAAGAATCTTGCCATATCTGATTTGAAAGCACACAAAGTAGGTGGCTACTTCACGCCTCATCTCTTGGCTCTAGGATCATATTGGGATTAGGCTTTGGGATCAGGTTCTTTGCAGATCAGAAATGGCATAGGGGAGTGTACCGGGAATCAGACAAACCTAAGCACACATCCAGATTCTCCATTTTTTTTTTTTTTTTTTAGCTGTGTGGGAAAATCTCTTTGCTACTGACATGGTTTGGCTCTGTGTCCCCACCCAAATCTCATGTTGAATTGTAATCCCCAGTGTTGGATGTGGAGCCTGATGGGAGGTGATTGGATCATGGGGGTGGTTTCTCATGGTTTAGCACCATCCCCCAGTGCTGTCTCATCATAGAGTGCTCATGAGATCTGGTTGTTTAAAAGTGTACAGCACTCCCGCTTTAGCTCTCTTCCTCCTTCTCCAGCCAAGTAAGACGTGCCTCCTTCCCCTTCACCTTCTGCCATGATTGTCAGTTTCCTGAGGCCTCCCAAGCCATGCTTCCTGTATGGCCTGTGGAACTGAGAGTCAATTAAACATCTTTCTTTTTTTTTTTTTTTTTTTTTTTGAGATGGAGTCTCGCTCTGTCACTCAGGCTGGAGTGCAGTGGTGTGATCTTGGCTCACTGCAACCTCCACCTCCAGGGTTCAAGCAATCCTCCTGCCTCAGTCTCCTGAGTAGCTAGGATTACAGGTGTGCACCACCACACCCAACTAATCTGTGTGTGTGTGTGTGTGTGTGTTTAGTAGACACGGGGTTTCACCATGTTGGCCAGGCTGGTCTCTAACTCCCGACCTCGTGGTCTGCCCACCTTGGCCTCCCAAAGTGCTAGGATTATAGGCATGAGCCACCGTGCCCAGCCCACCTCTTTTCTTTATAAATTACCCGGTTTCAGGTAGTTCTTCATAGCAATGCAGACTAATACAACTACTTTGATTCTCACCTTTCCTTATTTGGAAAAATATTTCCATTGAAGTGTTGTGGTGAAGATTCAATACAATTAAATGATATAACATATGTAAAGGGCTTAGCAATAACCCAATGGCTAATAAGCAGCCAAGGAGTGGTAGCTCTCAGTATAGTCAGCCTCTAAGAAGAGAGCAAATGTTTATTTTCAAGAAGAATTATGCAGAAAGGGCCACTTTCAGTCTACCATTCCCCCAAATTCCTTGAAGGAAGGATGATGTGAGCAGCAAAGGAAGAAAGGAGAGTGGGCATGAAATACTATAGAACCTGCAAAGAATGAAGTCCCTCTGTCTGTGTGTGCCTATATCAATAATTTAAACTTACACATTCATGAGATTTACTGTGTTTATTAGGATGTACATGTGTCCCTAAGAATCTGAGAGTTCCTGAGAGACAGAGACGGTGTCTTACTCATCTGCTCTCCCCAGGTCCTGGCTTACTACCTGGCACTTATTGGGTAATAAATGTCTGTTGAATGCATGGAAAAAGAAAGGTAGGAAAGGTATGAAGGAGAAGATGGAGGTCACGACCAGTAGAAATCTCAGCTGTTCTGCCTGGGCTCCATGTCATCTCCCTGCTATTAGGCCCATCAGAATGTAAGCACAAATGCCTAGAGAATGACAAGCTTCTTTGGGACTCTGCTGACTAGACATGACATAAGACTGGACAGCTTCTGGGGAACTTCCAAGAACTGGCTCCAGGCAGTGACTAATCCTAGGAGCTGCTGGCTTGGCTGCCTCTCTCCCTTCCTTATTTCCAAGATTGGTCACCTCCTGCTCTGAAATAGCAATTGATTTTCAGACATGAGTTGATAGAGCCATGATTTTCTAATACTGTTCCAAAGGGGCTAAAGTACCTCTGAGGAGCAGTGCAGGCTAGGATCAAACTCTCCCTACCTTCCACTCCACTCCCTACCTTGCCCCTCCACCTCTGCCCACTTTCTATTTCCTCAGGCACAGCAGCTTCTACCTTATGGATTACAAATTCTGGTCATCCATCTATGGTTGCATTAGGAAAAGAGTATTGCTACTTTCATTTTCTTTTCTAACCACTGCCCTAGAAGAATAACACCTCACATTCTCTGGTAGACTGAAGCCTGCAGCTGCAAGGATGCTCAGAAAACCAGACTTCTATTCATTGGCCACTTGCTGCACTTTCTGTCCCTCGATCCTTGCAACGTACCTTTGAGGTAGGCATAAAAATCCCCATTTACAAGTGAGAAAACCAAGGCAAAAGAGGTTCAGTTTATTTCAGGCTCAAATGTGCTTCCAGTAGCTTATAGCCTCTACAGCTAGTGTTTGAACCCAGGTCTGAGACAAATAGGATTGACAAGGGGAGGGAAAAGAGGAACAGAAATTCTTTTCTATAAGACAATTGTTTATGCAGCCAGGATTTCTTAACATCCAGTTTGTGCCTACGGACATAATCTTTGAATTTGCTTTGTTTCTCGATGAATAACTTGGAAGCTATTCAAATAACTTGGAAGCTTCCTTTAAAAGGAACATCAGGAGGTGATTTTTGACTAACCCTAGGTGTAGTTTCTGAGCCAAATAGATTTTCAAATAAGAAAATGAGAGGACGTGAGGTTGAGGAAAATGATAGGCATTCCAACCTCACCCGCTTGCTGACGACCTCCAAGTGATTTCAACAATGATTTCAAATATTTCACTTTTTAAGTCAGTGTGACTTAAGTATGAAATTGCCTCTCCCTAAAGCTCCCCTAAGGCCTAAACAGTCGTCATTACCATAGCTGTGACAGGGAGACTGTTGAATTTATAATCTATTGGCCATTCACAGCATAGCGTATAAACCTAGCTCATGATTTCTTTGCAATAGAAGTGCACTTTTTCATCATATTCCCTTCACAACTTACTCACCAGATCAGACTTTGAGCTCTCCTCCTGACTTAGCCTGGATCATTTGAAATGGTCATCCATCCTTTGGCCCCAATACCTAAACTAAGGTCTATGAACAATAAGATGATTTTCTTCAGTGGGACTTTTTTGTTTAATATAATATTAGATATTTCCCCTGATACAGGGCTCAATCTTTTTCTTTTTAAAGCAATATTTCTCAAAGTACTTTTCACAGAACTTAAGTTTCATTAAGCACTTCACTAAAAGAAAAGTCTGTGATCTCATAAATTTGGAAAATATTGAGAATTAGAGCCCCCTCTTAGATATGTACTGTAGCTACTCAGCTTGTTACAGATGAAGTAAACATTGTAATATTCACCCAGCTTTTGAGTGATGTCTATTAACGTCACCCAAATGAGTATTCCATGGAATGCACTTTGCAAAAACCTATTATTCAAGAAAATTCTGGAGCATGAAAGCTATTAACGATAAACCCATTCACAAAATCACACCAAATATCTAAAATCATGTTTAAAATCTCCTAGAAATGGGTTGAATTGCCCACTTCAGAGACAAAGTGATTCTTTTGTAATAACGAGTTTTGTTTAGTGAGTACTTATTATCTCATTGAATCCTGAGGACTACCTCACAAGGTAAGTATAGCTCTTTTCATTACACATGACAAACAAGGCTCAGAGAGGTTAAGTAACTTGCTCAAGATCACAAAACTGCAGAGTGACAAAACTAGAATTTTGAATCTAAGCTCAAAGGGTCACCAAACCAAATTTGGGTCCACCCACCCAGCCTATCAAAGTCAAGCACTGATATCGGCATTGCTGAGACAGAAGTTGAGGAATTTATTGCAGGCAGCAAGCAAGGAGTATCAGGCAGCTAATCCTTAAGGCCTAATCTCCCTGATGGTTTATGTGTAAGGGTTTTTAAAGGTGGGAAGGCAGAGGTTGCAGGCAAGGTCATACAATACATGGAGGCTACATATTGGTTTGGCCAAAAAAGGCAAAATATCTCGAAGTGAGGGCCCACAGGATAGGTGACCATTAGATGAATTCAAAGATTTTCTGATTTGAGACCAGGTGCAGTGGTTCACACCTGTAATCTCAGAGCTTTGGGAGGCCAAGGTGGGTGGATAACTTGAGGCCAGGAGTTTGAGACCAGCCAGACCAACATGGCAAAACACCATCTCTACTAAAAATACAAAAATTATCTGGGCGTGGTGGTGTGCACCTGTAATCCCAGCTACTCAGGAGGCTGAGGCATGAGAATCGTTTGAACCTGGGAGGCAGAGGGTTCAGTGAGCTGAGATCGTGCCACTGCACTCCAGCCTGGGCAGCAGAGTGAGACTCTGTCTCAAACAAACAAACAAAAACCCAAAGATTTTCTGATTTGTGATTGGTTAAGTTTTGGCTACAAACTTGGGGTCAGCAGAAAGGAATGTTCTGCTCTGGCCTGTGGGTGTGACTTCCTCCAGGTCCCTCAGGAAGAAATTGAGAACAAAGAACAGTTGTGAGAGTTCAGTCCTCAGTTCCTCCTTATCTGAGATCTACGAGCCAACAGGTGGTATTTTCCATTTAGCGGGGTCTGGGTTTCTACAAAACAACTCAGGGACATATGTTAAGATGTTATCTCTAGTTTCTATAGGGAAACAAACATTTTGTGGCTCTAATTTTCTTTTTTTTAAATTATACTTTAAGTTTTAGGGTACATGTGCACAACGTGCAGTTCTGTTACGTATGTATACATGTACCATGTTGGTGTGCTGCACCCATTAACTCGTCATTTAAGATTAGTTTGTGGCTCTAATTTTCTTGACTGTTGTTTTAAGCTATTATTACCTTCTTACTTATCAGGGTGCTCATCTACTTCTTGAGGCTAGCCAGGTGGCTGGAATTTTCCTTGGAGGTACTCAAGAGATTCCTTTATTTTTCGTGCCTTAAATGGGTCTGTTCTCCCTCTTCAAAGCTCAAGCTCTTAAGGACTATGCTATTGTTAGATTTTTCATATTGGAGCAGACCTTCCCTCCTACTCAAGAACACCCCTTCTTCAGACAGCCTGGCTGGGTCTTCATCCTGGGAGAGCTCATGAAACACAAACCAGATCTTGGCCCTCACATGTGTCTAGGCAGAGCTGAGCCTGGGCAACACCAAGCATTCCCCCGATTTTGCATGCCCCAGCCAATTCAGAGTCAAGATCCATGCTCAGCTCCTTCCCTGCAAAGTGCTAATGATGAAGCATGGGGATCAAGTCAGCAAACTCCAGAAATGGTCTTAGACTAGGAGTCAAGCCTTGAGATCCTATTACACACCAGATTCATTCCCTGATTAGAGCTGCTGAATTCTTTTACTCTCACTGCACTCATGCTAAAGTTTCTTTCCTCCAGCCTCCTAACCCCAGAGGAGGCTGAGCCATGATACCCATTGTCAAGCAATACATATTTAAGGAGCCCCTGAGATATGTCAGGCACCATCATAGGTGCTGGGACAAGTGAATGTGACCAGGAAAGTCCCTCCCCTCTCAGAGGTTCTTTTCAAGTTGGAGGACAGCAAATACAGAAATATAGAGTCTAACATAACAACAGGGAGTAATAAACACTTTGAAGAAAAATAAAGTGGAATAAGAGGGTAGGGTTGCCATAGGGTTCTCTGGGCAGTCTTCTATGGGAAGGCCACTTGTTTGGGCAGAGAAACAAAAGATGTCTGAAAGGAGGACTACGGGCCCCCCATAAGTGCGCTCCGGTCTGCGCACAGGGCAATGGGCATGTAATTTCCTATGATTAAGACCTACAGTATGTACAATATTACTGCAACAGACACTGAGACTGACTTAGCATTGTTTCATAGTATCCGAGTTGCTCTGTTGGAAGAAAGTGCATGTGATGGGCATTCATTTGCTTCTGCCATCAGACAGATTCTCTACCTTTGTCCTTCCTACAAGATTCCCTAGGAAGGCAGGGCTCAGTGGCTCACACCCGTAATCCCAGCAATTTGGGAGTCCGAGGCAGTCAGATCACAAGGTCAGGAGTTCAAGACCAGCTTGGCCAACAAGGTGAAACCCCGTCTCTACTAAAAATACAAAAATTAGCTGGGCATGGTGGCACGTGCCTGTAATCCCAGCTACTCAGGAGGCTGAGGCAGGAGAATTGCTTGAACAGGGACCCGGGAGGCAGAGGTTGCAGTGAGCCAAGATCGCACCACTGCACTTCAGCCTGGGCTACAGAGTGAGACTCTGTCTCATAAATAAATAATAAATAAATAAATGATTCCCTAGGAAGCTGACTCCCACTGAATGTGCCACTCAGGAGTCCCTGCTCTCTAGATTACAGTTGAGTTTGCTCAATGCAAGGCCCCAGCAGAAATGTTGAAAATAAGAGCAAATAGATAGTTAACCACTCTTTAAAACAACAATGGATGTATACTTCTCTGGCCTCAGCTCCCGTGGGGAAGCTCCAGTGCCAGTCCCTGGGTGCTTCACCATTTTCAGTTAGTTCCTAAACCTTGTAAACAGACCCTTCACTAAATTCTTCCTAGTTAACCCTTTGAGAATGAAACCATTTCCTGCCAGGACTCTGACAGATACAAAGAACCCACAGCCGACTGCTGGGTGCGCGGCAGACCTGGTGCATGGCTCCACACTGCCATCTTGGGGGCTGGCACAGGCTGGCAGGCACTGAGTCTGGGGAAGGGAGCTGGGGCTGGAGGTGTGGAGGGGAAGACCGTGCATAGTTGCTTCCTGATCAGCTCTTTATTTGATTGAGAGTGAGGCAGGGAAGATTAGAGGGAAGCTTACAGTGGAATTCAGGGCTGAGGCTGCTATTCTTTTGCTCCTTGTAACTTCCTACAGTGTTGTCAGCATCCACATACTTCTCTGTGGGGTTGGTCTCAGAGCCAGGTTACCTTGTCTTAGGTCCAGTGGCACCCTGACTGGCTTGGTGTCCTTGAACAAGTTACCTAACCTCTCCATACCTAAGTCCCTCAGCTGTAAAATTAAAAAAGAAAAAAGAAGAAGAGTACCTACTGCATAGCATTGATTTGAAGATTGAATGAGCTGGTATTATACAACGTTTAGAAGCAGTGCCTGACACGCAAAAGGCTCTCAACAAATACTATCCTTTACTAATATCCCGTGTGTCTGTATCAGAGCTGGGGGGGTGGAGGGACAGAAAGAAGTGGGAGAAGGTAAAGAGATGGGCAAATGATCTCTAAAGTCTCTCTGGCACTAACACAATTCTTTATTATGTGTTTTGTCTGGCTCTTTATATTGATAGCTGTTCCAGAGGCAATCAATACCTATTAGTCGGTTTTATTCTTATTTTGCTGTCTGATCTTACAGGGGAGCAAACTGAGGCAAAGCATGAACTTACTTCTCAGGAAATTAACCATTATGTTGGCAATCGCTGTGATTATTTGAACAGCAGCATCTGGACAAATTTAGTCACATGAAGTACAGAAGAGAGATTTCTCATGGTTAAAACGAAGCTCTCTTTATTTGCTTCTGCTAATTAAAAAATCAGAGCTAAAGATACTTAAACACTACAGTTAAAATGCCATGGTTGTCTATTGGCTTAATGAATTCTCTTATGAAATCAACTCTAAAATGTTATCCATCATAAATCATGAAACACAATTTTTCTTATTCTCTTTAGAGCTTTACAATTCATCTTAAAGACCAGTGTTTACACTCTCTTCTGTAGGTTGTACAATAACCTTTGGCGAGAAAAAATAAAAGTCTGGCTTTCTGACTCATAAGTGTGTTCCCTTTAACAGAAAAAGAAAATATGTCCTCTTTAAAACTGATGATCATTGGTCACCTCAATTTTATTGAAGTTCACTTCTGACCTCTTTAGATGTAGTTCTCTACATAAAACTTCCCAACAGAATTCTCTGTCTGAATGCCTCCTCCACAAACAAAATTTTAAGAACTAAAATCATCATCTTTCCTTCCAAATGTGCTCTCCCTATGTCCCCAGGGCTCTCTATGTGTAGAGCTGAGACCATTTGCCACTCAGTTTCCTCACCCAATTAATTACAAGTCCCAACAATTTTCCTTTTTTTTTTTTTTTTTTTTTTTTTTTTAGACGGAGTCTTGCTCTGTCACCAGGCTGGTGTGCGGTGGTGCAATCTCAGCTTACTGCAACCTCTGCTGCCTGGGTTCAAGCGATTCTCCTGCCTCAGCTTCCCAAGTAGCTGGGATTTCAGGTGTGTGCCACTACATCCAGATAATTTTTGTATTTTTAGTAGAGAGGGGATTTCACCATATTGGCCCAGATGATCTCAATCTCTTGACCTCATGATCTGCCCACCTTGGCCTCCCAAAGTGCTGGGATTACAGGCGTGAGCCACCATCCCTGGCCCAGTTTTGCCTTTTTAACATCCCTCAGCTCTTCAAATCCATTTTCTCTTCTCTAACACCTCCCCATTCCCCAGCTCGTAATGAACTCTTAAGTAGATTACTACAATCACTTCCCAAATGGTCTTCCTGGCTCCATCAGCCTTGTGACCTTCAAGTTCATTCTCCACATGGATGTCAAAGTAACTTTCTAAAATGAAAATCTGACCACGTTACTCTCTTGCCTAAATCTGCCTATGGCCGCTGTTAGGATCAAGTCTAAACTCCCGACCCTGGAACATCAGGTCTTCGTGTTCTGTTTACTGCTTCTCTACCTCACCTGCAACCAACACCACTCCCACATCCATATTCTGCTCACCGTGTATCAACATGAACAGGAGGTGGGTGTTTCAGTCCCCAGGAAGACACTGGGCCTTTTCAATCATCTACTGCTGTGTAATAACCACCCCGCAAACTGACCACATGATTTCATTTTGCAAGGGTTCCTTCCTTGGGCTGTGTTCAGCAAAAGGGTTTACTGAGCTGGCAGGTCCAAGATGGCCTCACTCACAGGACTGGCTGTTGATGGGAGCCTTGATGCTCTTGGGCTCACCCCTTATCCTCCAGTAGGTTAGAGCTTCTTACAGTGGTTTCAGGCAGCATCTGAAGACAGTAAAAGCAGAAGCTCCAAGGCTTCTTACATTCTAGCCTGGAAAATCACATCACATTGCTTCTTTCATATTTTTTTTGGCAAATCAGGTTGCAAGGCTTGCCCAGATTAGGGTAAAGAGGCTCCTTTTCTTTTCTTTTTTTTTTTTTGTTTGAGTCAGAATCTCGCTCTGTTGCCCAGGCTGGAGTGCAGTGGCGCGATCTAGGCTCACTGCAAGCTCTGCCTCCTGGGTTCACGCCATTCTCCTGCCTCAGGCTCCCAAGTAGCTGAGACTACAGGCACCTGCCACCACGCCCTGCTAATTTTTTTTTTTTTTGTATTTTTTAGTAGAGACTGTGTTTCACTGTGTTAGCCAGGATAGTCTCCAACTCCTGACCTCGTGATCCGCCGGCCTTGGCCTCTCAAAGTGCTGGGATTACAGGCGTGAGCCACCGTGCCCGGCCAAGAGGCTCCTTTTCTTGATGAAAGGAGTAGTGAAGTCACATTGCATGTCCTTGCAAAGGGACATGCAGACCACATTAGAGAGAATATGTGCCTGTATTTTGCAATCTGTAACATGGGCATAAACTAAATGTTTTCCAAAGGGAATAGGGCAAAACAAAAAGGACCTTGACCACTCCTTTGGCCCTGAATAAATCCAGGAAGCCTAAGAGTATGACTATCCTGAGGTAGAAAGAGGGTCACATGCTGGATAAGAGGTACCTGGGCTCTCCAGTTACAAGAAGAGAGCATGGTTACATTTATAATCACCATTCCCAACATGCTGTGAGTGCAGGCAGCTACCAGGAGGAGAACAAAGGAAATAACCAGGACACCCATCTCTAAACCTGTTAATTTAATCACACAGAACACTTCTATTTAAAATTCCCGAGGGTTAAGATGTAAGAATGCTTATCAAGGTAAATGCTGTTCACACTGCTTGGAGTGTCAGGCCTAGATCTCTATCCATCAGAAACAACAATATCAATAACAACAACAGCAACATGATGATGGGGCAATTTCTGAAAAGCACCATGTATTTTATCGATACATGTCCGTTGCAGAAAATCCAGGTGAATCCAAAGAAGAAATGAATGTCTTCCACAATCCCATAGCCCAGAGCTAACTAACCACTATAAAGAACCCAGCGTGGTTTTAACTAATGGATCAAAAGATGCTCATCAAAGGCTCTGAGCTTTCCTGAGTGCTAACAGGAAACATCCAGCATCTCTGGTCTCTCCAAGGCTGCAGGTGTCTTTGCCCATAGTGCCTGTTTTGTGTCAGGGAAAGAATCAACCTGGGAGCCAAGCCCAGGAATCAGGATGACCAAGACATACTGGACAAGGAGGGAACAAACCCATCCAAGGACACTCAAGGACAAATCAAGCAAATGAATTTAAGGGAGACCGGCTCATGGTCTGCTTTGCTGCTCAGCATGGCTGGGAGGCACAGTGGAAGATCATGCATCCTGCCCCTGGGACTCCTGTGCCAGAGCCTGAGAGCTTTCTCCTGCCCACAGGCTAGGGGTAGGACAGTTGGAATTGATCCATGCCTTCTAGCTAGACTGTGGGTCCCCTCAGTCTTGGGCATGGTGACAGCCCAGCATCAGACAGAGGTCAGTATCAAACTAGAAAATTTAATAAATGCTGTCAGATTTGTAGACCCAAGAAAATATAAACTGCCAATCACGGAGGAAAAAAATCTCTCAATGATCTTATCTTTATATGATTCCCTTGCTGCCTGGAAATTGACATTTCCTTGGGGATAATCTGGTCATAGGATTGGTGAAGGTGGAAGGGAGGCAACCTCCGAAGGTGGGGCCCTCTGCTCACCTGGGACAGGGAGGGCCTGAGGTAGGTGTCTGTGTGGGCTGGGGAGGAGGATGGGAGCAGTGCTTCTAGATGTTTCCACTTTTTCCTCATTAGATAATAACGAATGGGTGATTTCCCTAGTCACTGCAGTGTGAGGAAATCTACAAAATTAATTTCCCAATACACTTTACAGGATAGGTGGAGAAACCCATGAAGCACAACTGCAGTGGGTTATAAAAAACGGCCTTTCGAGTTGAGCAATAAATTCGTTCGAGCAGCCATTCTGAAGGACAAACGTGGCTCTGTATTTAAGAGGGGCATTCCAGCCCTTCTCTAGCCACTGGGTTGACAATGACTCACCAAAGCCTCTGGTAGCCACCACAGGACACCCAGAGCATATGTTTTAAAGCTGAACACCAAACTGCGGACTTCAGGAGTAAGTGAACTGACTGGTTTTTATTTTGTTTTACTGCTTTTAACATTACAGTAACTGTTACAGGTTCCAGCAGGCTAACTGGGTGGAAATGAGTTTGGTTTCACTTAGTCTCTCTAAAGAGAAAGCAAGTCCGTAGACTAATACCTAATAAAAGCAAAGCTCCCAACAATTGAAATTGCCTGGGCTGCTCTGTGTGTCCCACATGCATGGGTGTGGGTGCCAGTGTGTGTGCGCGTGTGCATGCATGTGCATGTGTGTTGGGATAGAGTGGTAAGAAAATGGGAAATAATAAGAATGTTCAGTCCATAGCCTTTCATTATAAAAAGGTGAGCTGTAATAAATACTAGTGCCACATTTAGCCAAAACTTTACTCCAGCCAAAGGTGATATTTTCATGATAACATCCTGTGATTGCTTTGTTCTTCGTCTTTTATGTTCTTCCTAGATGGGCTCAGAACATACAAGAATTAAGCACACATCTTATTTTCCAGTGATAATGCTACCGGCAAATTCTGTTGTTTGTATAAACATCAGCCATGTTTATATAACTAAACTGGTGTTTTGTTTTGTCAATTCAGCAAGAAATTAGACCAAATGGTGGCTTAATGCTGCATTGATTTGGCTATCAATTTCTTTTCACTTTTCTGCAAAATATTTAATACATTATTAAATTGAATTATGCTGACGCCACAGTTGTTCTTATCTCAATTGTCTTAAAATTCATTTAATTTTTTTCCTTTGGTTTCATTATTCAAATTTTAACTTCAGTTATCAAGATTTTATCTGATGGAAGAGATGGAGTCCATTACTAAGGACTCCATTGTGCTCCATCATGCCAGAGTTGTAAAATAGATCTTTTAAAGGAAATTTACTGTGATTTTTTTCTATTTAAGAGCTTCCTCTCCAGTTGAGCATGTAAGAAAATTATACCAGGAGAATACAGTAAACTCTATGAGGCAAGCTATAAACATGTAGCATTGTGATTAGGGCTGGTTCTCCTTCTAGAAACATGGTAGGATTGGAATTTCATACCATCCTTGAAGTTAGAGACAGCCACGTGACTCATTTAGCCAATGAACTGTGAGCAGAATGACATGTCACTTCCAGCAGAAACTTTAAGAATCTGAGAGACAGTCATACGTTTTCCATGTGCTGTAGCCTTATACCCAAAGCCTGGGTCCCAAGTGACCATGACAGGCAGAGCTCCCTGTTGAGCCACAGAGATTTAGAGAATGGCTGTTAACACAGCATAATCTAGCCCATCCTGACTAATCTGATATTAACATGTATAATAAAGAATTCTATCAATGCTGAGGGAAGATGATTAGTTAAGGTCCTAGGTTGCAAGTCTCAAAACCTCTTCTAAGGATTGTAGACAGGAAATTAAATGACTTCTAGTCCCTAGAGTTCCCAATCTCCTACCATCCCATCCTAATATGACAGAAGTAATTCCTGAGTTGCTTCTGAAACCAGAGCTTCTCTCAGAACCCTTAGCCTGCCAGATGGCTTCTTGGAGAGCCCTCACTCACTTTTCTCCTTCTGCTATTGCTGCTCATTCATTCCAGCTTTTAAAAATTCATCTTTATCCAGGAACCTCGCTTCTAGAAAAGTCAAACCGGTGCTTCCAGGAGGCTACAGCTATCGAGCAGTGACCTTGCCTGTCATGTTCAGCCCTACATCTCAAACTCCAAGCACATGGCGGTCACTCAGTTAATATTTATTAAATATTGAACACTTCTTTTTCAAAAAGCAAATTTCCTTTTGAGTATTCAGCTACTGGTAGATTAAACATGTCCTCAAAAGAAACTATTTGTAATCACGCTAATTAATTAGAGGAAAAAAGGTAAGAGAATTCTAGTTTCTGAATAAATTAACTCATGCTAAGTCATGTCCTTTACTCATGTTACCTGAGGTACACAAATATAATGTAGAGTAAAATATATCTCAAGTATATCTTGATTCTAACTGCAAGAGGATACCATTATTGTGTAGTCACAAACTCCAAAAACTATGTAAATTTGTATCCTCAGCTTCAGCAGTAATTCTATGACTTACCCTAGGCAAGCCTGAACAGGTCTCTACAGCTTAGTTTCTTGTTTTGTTAAAGGGATTTAATACAAGCTTACCTCACCAAGATGCTATGTAAAACAGTTTCTATTTATTGCAAGTACTGTATGATTTTTGTGTCTATTGGTGTGGAGCAACACACTCATTACATGATGGCATCAAAAATTTTGTGCCACTAAGGATGCCAAATTCTTGGAGATACTAGAGGGATTATAGTGCATATGACTAATTAATTTTGGGGATTGTGTTGCAGTTACATCTAAAGACAAACTTGGAATTTAGGCTGAAGAATTGTCTCAAATCATTTTAAATTGTGTTTTTAGAATATGACACTTAAATATCTCAGGATAGCCTCAAAACTTCAGTAGAAAATCGGGGAAATATGCCTAAATATCTCAGGATAGCCTCAAAACTTTAGTAGAAAATCCGGGAAATATGCCTTATAAGCTTATAAAGTTATAAAATTTATGGTTTTATGTATTATATAAATAGAGCATTGCAGACACATTCCTTATTTTGAAATAAAAAAACCTTCTGATATTAGCATTCATTTACTTAAGACCCTGTGGAACTCAACAAAGCAATAGAGCTGGAGAAAGGATTGCTAACTTATCCAAGATATAGTTCTGATTCTGAATGGATACTATCCATCTTTCTCAAAGAAACTGGGACTTGCAATAAATATAGTTTGATAGGATGCATTATGTAGAGTTTTTTCAAAGATTTTAAAATGTCAAAAGAGCCTTATAATTACTTTACTATAAGTAGCCATAATACTGCAATAGAATTCAGCAAAATCAATCATTTAATTTAATTTATAAAATTAAAATTTTTGTTTACAAATATAAAATAGGTTTTTAAAATTCTGAAGTCATCAAAATGAACTAGCTTTCTGACTTGAATCGAGTCATCTAACCACACTGTATCAGAGATTCCTCAATTGCAATTCAAAGGAAATGAAATAATTCAGTGATTCTCAAACATTTGGGTCAAGGATACCTTTACCCTCTTAAAAACTGAGGACCTCAAAGAGCTTAATTTATGTTTATGTGGATTATATCAATCATTATTTACCATATTAGAAATTAAAACTATCATTAAGATAAAAACTGAGATACTTACTAATTTATTTAAAAATAAGTAAATATTCTATTACGTTATAAGCAGTATATTTTATTTAAAAAACTATATTTTCCAAAGATAGCTTTTTTTTAAGAAGAGTAACATTGTTTTACATTTTTTCAAACCTGTTTAATGTCTAGCTTAATAAAAGGTGGCTGGATTCATACATCTTTTTCTGCATTCATTCTGCTGTGCATTTATTCATGTTGTTTCGCATTTTGCATTTATTCATGTTTTGGTAGAAATATTATGAAGAAAATTTGGTCGCAAACAGAGTATATATTTGGAAAGGGATTTATGCCTTTAAAACTTTGATATTCATTTCAGATAATTGTTTGTTGCTAATATGCTTATATCATCAAAAGGAAGATGTGCAAAAGGGTAGTTAATGGCATCTTGGGCTGCTGTTTTTAGAATAAGAGAAGAGGTCTTACTCAGCTCAGTAATGCTTGTCTAGAGAGTGCCTGGTTTCTTTTTTCTTTCTTTCTTTTTTTTTGAGACAGAATTTTGTTCTTAATGCCCAGGCTAGAGTGCAGTGGCGCAATCTTGGCTCCCTGCAACCTCTGCCTCCCAAGTTTGAGCAATTCTTCTGCCTCAGCCTCCCGAGTAGCGGGAATTACAGGCATGTGCCACCACACTCAGCTAATTTTGTATTTTTAGCAGAGACGGCTTTTCACCGTGTTGGTCAGGCTGGTCTCAAACTCCTGACCTCAGGTGATCTGCCTGCCTCGGCCTCCCAAAGTGCTAGGATTACAGGCGTGAGCTACCGCACCTGGTCCCTGGTTTCTTTTTAATACTACATGGAAATTTCACATGTAGTAATGTCTTAAAGCCTAGTTGCTTTGTGAAATCTGAAACATAGCAATAAATTTTTTATATTAAGATTGAAAAAAAATCCATATCAAAGAATAACATGTTGGGAATGGCTTGAAGAGACTAATAGAGATTATGCCATCCTTTAGTATACCACTGCTGAGTGATAAGAGGAGGCAGCGGACAAAACTATGGGAAGAATCCAACAAGTCAATTAAAGTTAATGATTTTAACCCACCCCTCTTAAATACTGAAGGAATAAGCCTACCAAAAAATATAATCAAAACTATATAACATGATCTGATTAATAAACTAAAATTAATAAAGGAAGATATAGAATCTTAACAGAGAATACATATTTTTCAAAACACATATGGAACAGCCACAAAAATCACCATGAATGAAGTCATAAAGGAAACTTCATATATTTCAAAGAATTCATGAAATGGAGATTATGTTATTTCATCATTATAGGATTTAATTAAGAATAAACACTAAAGCCGGGCACAGTGGCTCACGCCTGTAATACCAGGACTTTGGGAGGCCGAGGCAGGTGGATCACTTGAGGTCAGGAGTTTGAGATCAGCCTGGCCAACATGGTGAAACCTCGTCTCTACTAAAAATACAAGAATTAGCTGGGCGTGGTGTTGCATGCCTGTAATCTCAGCTACTCAGGAGGCTGAGGCAGGAGAATCGCTTGAACCCGGGAGGCAGAAGTTGTAGAGAGCCAACATCGTGCCATTGCATTCCAGCCTGGGTGACAAGAGCAAAACTCTGTCGCGAAAAAAGAAAAGAATAAACACTAAAAAGATGGATTTTTTAAAATCTCATAACTCTAGGAATTGAAAGTAATTAACATCCCTTGGATTAAAAGGGGGAAATTAAAAAATTCTTTAGGCTGAATGAATACATTTATCAAAAAACAAGAAAGATTGAGAAAAATAAAGCAAATATAAAGCTCAAAGAGCTAGAAAAGGAAACAAAGGAATAAATATATAGAAACAAGATGAGACAAGATTATACAAGTAAGAGAAAATCAATAAAATGGTAAAGAAAAAATTAGTAGAGATAATTTAACAATCAAAACCCTATTTCTTTGAAGAGATTTTTTAAATGTACACGTATCTGACAAAGTTGATCAAACAAATTGTGATGGTTAATTTTAGGTGTCAGCTTGACTGGATTAAGGAATACTTAGAATACTGGTAAAGTGTTACCTCTGGTGTGTCTCCTCTCAGATGTTTCCAGAGGATACTGGCATGTGAGTCAGGGACCAAGCAAGAAAGTTCTGCCCTCAATGTGGACAGGCACCATCCAATCAGCTTGGGGCCTACATAAAGCAAAAAAACTCTCTCTCTCTCTGTCTTTCTCTCTCTCTCTCTCTCTCTCTCTCTCATCCTGATTAATACAAAGAATATAAGAGACTAAGAAATTAAAATTCAACCCCCAAAAGAGAATCACCTATAGAAATAGTAGTGATTTCAGAAATAATAATGAACTATATAGCAATAATATTGAAAAACTTCAATGAAAAAAGAAACAAATTTCCAGGAATAATTTGCCTGGAAAGTAGAAAACTTGAATTGCCTGTTAGCTATGAAATTGATTTCTAATCACCCATCAGGCCTCTGGTGCAGGTAATGTTTGTTATGGTCAAAGTTCTTTATTCTAGTTAAGCAAATCCACTCTAGCTATTATAATCTGAAAATACTTTATTAAGAAATGTATGAGGCCCAGCATGGTGGCTCATACCTATAATTCCAGCGTTTTGGGAGGCCTAAGAGAGCAGATCATTTGAGCTCAAGAGTTTGAAACCCACCTGGGCAACATGGCAAAACCCCACCTCTACAAAAAATGCACACAAAACGTTAGGCAGGTGTGCTCGTGTGCGCCTGTAGCCCAGCTGCTCGGGGACTGATGTGGGAGGATGGCTTGAGCCCGTGGAGCGGAGGTGGCAGTGAGCTGTGATCAGTGCCACTGCACTCCTGGGCGACAGAGTGAGACTCTGTCTCAAAAGAAAATAAACAAATAAATAAATTTTAAAAGGAAATGTATATATATCACAGAAGTACTAGAAAGACTTAAGTAACAGACTCTGACTTAGTTTCCAAGAATGATCTCCAAAACCCAGCAGGACTGAACAACTAAGAGAACTGCAGCCACTATTATGATCAGGAATTTGCCACCAGCAGTACTGGTTTTAGTATCACACTGCCACTGCCACAATCTATACTATAAAACCAAATGTACTGTACCCTGTTTCCACATAATTCCATCTTGAATCAAAATCTCCCACAAGTGAATATTATTAACAGAACCTAAATTACATTCAGAATCCTAACTGCTAGAGAATCTAAAACATGTAGATTTTACTTTCAGTCTCTATATGTTATAAAGCAGTTGGAACAAGATTGAAAAAATAATCTACAGGATCAGATTGTTTTAAAGATGGGTTCTTCAAAACTTTCCCAGAAGAGCTAAGTCTAGTTTATACAAAGTGTTCCAGAAAAAAGAAAGTGAAGGACAGCTGCACAACTCATTTTAAGTCTTCGACTCTCAACTCATTTTAAGAAGTTAATTATAATCTTCAGACAACCACTGGATTAGGACAGTACAAGAAAAGAAAGTTATTAGCTACTTGTTAGCCGTAAGTGAGTTATTAGCTCACTTTTGAGCAAAAATGTGAAATTCTAAATAAATATTAGCTTATTTCAACCATGTTTTAATAAAATATGGCAATGTAAATTTTATTCCAGAAATGTAAGGAGGTTCGTCACCAGAAAAGATATTAATATAATTTATCACATTAGTAGACTAAAGGGGGGGAAATGACTCAACATATGGAGAAAGACCATTTGATAATGTTTAACATCTAATTATGAGATATTTTAAAGTGTTAGAAAAAACTATGAATTAAAGATAATTTTTTAATTTGACAAAAGCTTTTTTTTTTTTTTTTTTTTTTGAGATGGAGTCTCGCACTGTCGCCCAGGCTGGAGCACAGTGGTGCGATCTCAGCTCACTGCAACCTCCACCTCCTGGGTTCAAGCGATTCTCCTGCCTCAGCCACCAGAGTAGCTGCAACTACAGGCACCCGCCACCACTCTTGGCTAATTTTTGTATTTTCAGTTGAGACGGGGTTCCACAATGTTGGTCAGGCTGGTCTCGAACTCCTGACCTCAGGTGATCCGCCCACCTCGGCCTCCCAAAATGCTGGGATTACAGGCATGAGCCACCACTCCTGGCCTTAACAAAAGCTTTTAATAAATATCTATTAGCAAACTTAGGAAAAAAAATTGTGACATATCATCTTTAGGGACAAGAAAGAGTCTTGCATGGCTTCCATTGAATATGGTGAGGGGTTCTCAGTCAACACAGTATTTTTTCCTTCCGAAAAAATGGGAAATATAAGGATTGGATAGAATGGACGACCCAACCCTTTCACAGTTTGCAGATTATTAGATCTTATACTAGAGGACCCAATTGAATCGATAGACAAACTATTAGAACTAATATGAGAGCTCAGAAGGGCTGTGGAGATGCAAGATTTATGATAGACAACAAAACAATAGTGAACACATATAGTATTTACTTAATTCATATATAAGACATTTTATAAATATTTTATGTATATTAATTCATTTAAATTCCATATAAAAATCAGTAACATTCTTCCGTATCAGCAGTGACCAACTGGAAATTAGTATAAAATGCAATTTCATTCACAACAGCAATAAAAACTACAAAGTATATAGGATATAAACTAATGAATGAACCCATCCTTTAAAACAGAGTTTTTCAAGCTCTATTAAAGGACATAAAACAAGATCTAGGTAAAAAGGAAAAAGTACCACATTCATGAGTGGGACAAATGAATACTGTAAAAATATCATTCTCCCTAAATCTATAAATTCAATGCAATTTTAATGAAAATTTCATGAGGATTTTGTGAAGAACTAGGCAATTAATTAGCTTATAAAATGTGCATAGAATAATAATAGACCACAAATAAATAAGATGAATTTTTTAAAAAGAAGAGCAAAGAGAGGGAACTTGTCTAGTTGAATATATTAAGACATATAAAACCATAGCAATAAAAATAGTATGATACCAGTATAGGAATGGACAAAAAAAATGATATAACAGAATAGGAAACCAGTAAACAAGCCTATGTTATATATGAGAATGAGGAATATAGTAGAAATTAGCATCATAACTCATAGAGGAAAGACACATTATTTAGTATGTGGCTCAACACATAGGAAAAAAATAAACCTAACTATGAAAGGCAACACTATGAAGTGAGTGAAATACATGAAGCTTTCTTTGTGAACTTGGGATGGGAAAGGATTTTTAAACAAGACCCAAAAAGTACAAACCTTAAGGGTGTGTGGTGGAAATTGATGGATGTGATCATGTTAAAACTGAATATTTCTATACAAAGAAGATATGATAGACAAACTTAACAGGCTGGTTGCAGACACATTAGCAGGAGATATTTTTAAAGTGTAACACTAAAAAGTGATTAACATTTAGACCATATAAGGAACTACTAAAATCTACAAGGAAACTCAAAAATTGAACAAGGACTAAAATAGACAATTCATGGGAAGGGAATTCTAAATAGCCAAAATGTATATGAAGAGATGTTCAACTTCACTTGTAATCAGAGAAATTCAAATTAAGTCAACAAAGAATCGCTAAAAATTACAAAGTCAGCTAATACTAAGTGCTGGCTAGGATGTCAAGAAATCAGAAAACTCATGCACTATTGATGGGAGTGTAACTCACAATACCTAGTGAAATTAATTATTCATATAATTTGTATACTTATCATTCCCTCACCTGGGTTTATATTGTGTACAAATCCTTAAGGGGATATTTTGGAGTGTGGTATCCTATCATTATTAGTGTTAGCAAGAAGTTAGAGGCAGCTTCATGTCCATCCCTAGGGAAATGGCTACTCAGAATACATAGCATGTACACACAATGGGATAAAATACAGGAAGAAGTAGTTAACCATTTTTATATGTAGGAATGTAGATGGATCTTGGAAATATGGAATTAATTCTATAGAACAAAACAATTTTTATATATTCAAAATACACATATACACAGAAAACAACCATATGTTGTATCTCAGGGCTGTATTTTCAGATGCCTAAGGAAACATATTGGATATATTAATGTGTATATCTCTGATGGGAAAGATGATGTATATGAGAATGAATAGGACAAAGGGGAAAGAATAATGAAATAAAACAGGGGCATTGTATGGACTCATAATGACGATGGAATCTGAAATCTGTGTATTTGAGAGCGGTATGACTCACAGATAATGCATGTGTGTCCTAATTTGGGGAGGAATATTTAAGTAATGTTCTCAACAAAAGGAAGCACTGGTTTTAAAACAGATTCTGGGAGGATTTGAATGGCCTTATGTAGAAGACAGATGGATACGTGATTAATACAAATTCTTGCTTTAGGTATTTTCCTCCCTCAGAAGTGTTGGAAATTAATCTGAAATTAATTTGCCTCCAGCAATCAGTCTAGGAGAGGAGTAGAAATTTAAAACCATGGTTATTTAATATTCAAAGAGAATGGCTCTGTAAATCTGGAAAACACAAATAACCTGACAAAAGCTTGTTTTTTATTTAGTTTCATGTAATCTGTCAGGCAGTAGTTTAAAAAGTATCAGGTTTTTTTCTTCTGGTATTATTTCATTGCATGTACTCACTGACAAAACCTTTTATTTATCAGTAAAATGTTCCCTATTATTCATTGTTATGCAAGCAATATACCACAAATCACTGCATAGCTATTTTTAAAATTTTATTATTATTATACTTTAAGTTTTAGGGTACATGCGCACAACGTGCAGGTTTATTACATATGTATACATGTGCCATGTTGGCGTGCTGCACCCATTAACTCGTCATTTAGCATTAGGTATATCTCCTAATGCTATCCCTCCCCCCTCCCCCCACCCCACGACAGTCCCCAGTGTGTGATGTTCCCCTTCCTGTGTCCATGTGTTCTCATTGTTCAATTCCCACCCATGAGTGAGAACATGTGGTGTTTGGTTTTTTCTCCTTGCCATAGTGTGCTGAGAATGATAGTTTCCAGCTTCATCCATGTCCCGACAAAGGACATGAACTCATCATTTTTTATGGCTGCATAGTATTCCATGGTGTATATGTGCAACATTTTCTTAATCCAGTCTATCATTGTTGGACACTTGGGTTGGTTCCAAGACTTTGCTATTGTGAATAGTGCCGCGATAAACTCATGTGTGCATGTGTCTTTATAGCAGCATGATTTGTAATCCTTTGGGTATATACCCAGTAATGGGATAGCTGGGTCAAATGGTATTTCTAGTTCTAGATCCCTGAGAAATCGCCACACCGACTTCCACAATGGTTGAACTAGTTTACAGTCCTACCAACAGTGTAAAAGTGTTCCTATTTCTCCACATCCTCTCCAGCACCTGTTGTTTCCTGACTTTTTAATGATTGCCATTCTAACTGGTGTGAGATGGTATCTCACTGTGGTTTTGATTTGCATTTCTCTGATGGCCAGTGATGATGAGCATTCTTTCATGTCTTTTTTGGCTGCATAAATGTCTTCTTTTGAGAAGTGTCTGTTCATGTCCTTTGCCCACTTTTTGATGGGGTTGTTTGTTTTTTTCTTGTAAATTGGTTTGAGTTCATTGTAGATTCTGGATATTAGCCCTTTGTCAGATGAGTAGGTTGCAAAAATTTTCTCCCATTCTATAGGTTGCCTGTTCATTCTGATGGTGGTTTCTTTTGCTGTGCAGAAACTCTTGAGTTTAATTAGATCCCATTTGTCAATTTTGGCTTTTGTTGCCATTGCTTTTGGTGTTTTAGACATGAAGTGCTTGCCCATGCCTGTGTCCTGAATGGTATTGCCTAGGTTTTCTTCTAGGGTTTTTATGGTTTTAGGTCTAACATGTAAGTCTTTAATCCATCTTGAATTAATTTTTGTATAAGGTGTAAGGAAGGGATCCAGTTTCAGCTTTCTACATATGGCTAGCCAATTTTCCCAGCACCATTTATTAAATAGGGAATCCTTTCCCCATTGCTTGTTTTTGTCAGGTTTGTCAAAGATCAGATAGTTGTAGATATGTGGCATTATTTCTGAGGGCTCTGTTCTGTTCCATTGGTCTATATCTCTGTTTTGGTACCAGTACCATGCTGTTTTGGTTACTGTAGCCTTGTAGTATAGTTTGAAGTCAGATAGTGTGATGCCTCCAGCTTTGTTCTTTTGGCTTAGGATTGACTTGGTGATGCGGGCTCTTTTTTGGTTCCATGTGAACTTTAAAGTAGTTTTTTCCAATTCTGTGAAGAAAGTCATTGGTAGCTTGGTGGGGATGGCATTGAATCTATAAATTACCTTGGGCAGTATGGCCATTTTCACGATATTGATTCTTCCTACCCACGAGCATGGAATATTCTTCCATTTGTTTGTATCCTCTTTTATTTCATTGAGCAGTAGTTTGTAGTTCTCCTTGAAGAGGTCCTTCACATCCCTTGTAAGTTGGATTCCTAGGTATTTTATTCTCTTTGAAGCAATTGTGAATGGGAGTTCACTCATGATTTGGCTCTCAGTTTGTCTGTTATTGGTGTATAAGAATGCTTGTGATTTTTGCACATTGATTTTGTATCCTGAGACTTTGCTGAAATTGCTTATCAGCTTAAGGAGATTTTGGGCTGAGATGATGGGGTTTTCTAGATATACAATCATGTCATCTGCAAACAGGGACAATTTGACTTCCTCTTTTCCTAATTGAATACCCTTTATTTCTTTCTTCTGCCTGATTTCCCTGGCCAGAACTTCCAACACTATGTTGAATAGGAGTGGTGAGAGAGGGCATCCCTGTCTTGTACCAGCTTTCAAAGGGAATGCTTCCAGTTTTTGCCCATTCAGTATGATATTGGCTGTGGGACTGTAATAAATAGCTCTTATTATTTTGAAATATGTTCCTTCAATACCTAACTTACTGAGAGTTTTTAGCATGAAGGGCTGTTGAATTTTGTCAAAGACCTTTTCTGCATCTATTGAGATAATCATGTGGTTTTTGTCTTTGGTTCCGTTTATATACTGGATTACGTTTATTGATTTGCATATGTTAAACCAGCCTTGCATCCCAGGGATGAAGACCACTTGATCATGGTGGATAAGCTTTTTGATGTGCTGCTGGATTCAGTTTGCCAGTATTTTATTGAGAATTTTTGCATTGATGTTCATCAGGGATATTGGTCTAAAATTCTCTTTTTTGTTGTGTCTCTGTCAGCCTTTGATATCAGGATGATGCTGGCCTCATAAAATGAGTTAGGGAGGATTCTGTCTTTTTCTATTGATTGGAATAGTTTCAGAAGGAATGGTACCAGCTCCTCCTTGTACCTCAGGTAAAATTCGGCTGTGAATCCATCTGGTCCCGGACTATTTTTTGGTTGGTAAGCTATTAATTACTGCCTCAATTTCAGAGCCTGTTATTGGTCTATTCAGAGATTCAACTTCTTCCTGGTTTAGTCTTGGGAGGGTGTATGTGTTGAGGAATTTATCCATTTCTTCTAGATTTTCTAGTTTATTTGCATAGAGGTGTTTATAGTATTCTCTGATGGTAGTTTGTATTTCTGTGGGATCGGTGGTGATATCCCCTTTATCATTTTTTATTGCGTCTATTTGATTCTTCTCTCTTTTCTTCTTTATTAGCCTTGCTAGTGGTCTATCAATTTTGTTGATCTTTTCAAAAAACCAGCTCCTGGATTCATTGACTTTTTGAAAGGTTTTTTGTGTCTCTATCTCCTTCAGTTCTGCTCTGATCTTAGTTATTTCTTGTCTTCTGCTAGCTTTTGAATGTGTTTGCTCTTGCTTCTCTAGTTCTTTTAAATTGTGATGTTAGGGTGTCAATTTTAGATCTTTCATGCTTTCTCTTGTGGGCATTTAGTGCTATAAATTTCCCTGTACACACTGCTTTAAATATGTCCCAGAGATTCTGGTATATTGTGTCTTTGTTCTTGTTGGTTTGAAAGAACATCTTTATTTCTGCCTTCATTTCATTATGTACCTAGTAGTCATTCAGGAGCAGGTTGTTCAGTTTCCATGTAGTTGAGTGGTTTTGAGTGAGTTTCTTAATCCTGAGTTCTAGTTTGATTGCACTATGGTCTGAGAGACAGTTTGTTATAATTTCTGTTCTTTTACATTTGCGGAGGAGTGCTTTACTTCCAACTATGTGTTCAATTTTGGAATAAGTGCAATGTGGTGCTGAGAAGAATGTATATTCTGTTGATTTGGGGTGGAGAGTTCTGTAGATATCTATTAGGTCCACTTGGTGCAGAGTTAAGTTCAATTCCTGGATATCCTTGTCAACTTTCTGTCTCGTTGATCTGTCTAATGTTGACAGTGGTGTGTTAAAAGTCTCCCATTATTATTGTGTGGGAGTCTAAATCTCTTTGTAGGTCTCTATGGACTTGCTTTATGAATCTGGGTGCTCCTGTGTTGGGTGCATATAAATTTAGGATAGTTAGCTCTTCTTGTTGAATTGATCCCTTTACCATTATATAATGGCCTTCTTTGTCTCTTTTGATCTTTGTTGGTTTAAAGTCTGTTTTATCAGAGACTAGGATTGCAACCCTGCCTTTTTTTGTTTTCCATTTGTTTGGTAGATCTTCCTCCATCTCTTTATTTTGAGCCTATGTGTGTCTCTGCACGTGAGATGGGTTTCCTGAATACAGCACACTGATGGGTCTTGACTCTTTATCCAATTTGCCAGTCTGTGTCTTTTAATTGGAGCATTTAGCCCATTTACATTTAAGGTTAATATTGTTATGTGTGAATTTGATCCCGTCATTATCTTGTTAGCTGGTTATTTTGCTCGTTAGTTGATGCAGTTTCTTCCTAGC
The DNA here is from genome assembly GCF_000001405.40 of Homo sapiens. NCBI lineage: Eukaryota > Metazoa > Chordata > Mammalia > Primates > Hominidae > Homo > Homo sapiens. Next base: position 118,405,741 of record NC_000004.12, on the reverse strand, counting down.
ATCAATGGTCTTTACAATTTGGCATGTTTTTGCAGTGGCTGGTACCAATTGTTCCTTTCCATGTTTAGTGCTTCCTTCAGGAGCTCTTTTAGGGCAGGCCTGGTGGTGACAAAATCTCTCAGCATTTGCTTGTCTGTAAAGGATTTTATTTCTCCTTGACTTATGAAGCTTAGTTTGGCTGGATATGAAATTCTGGGTTGAAAATTCTTTTCTTTAAGAATGTTGAATATTGGCCCCCCACTCTCTTCTGGCTTGTAGAGTTTCTGCCGAGAGATCAGCTGTTAGTCTGATGGCTTCCCTTTGTGGGTAACCCAACCTTTCTCTCTGGCTGCCCTTAACATTTTTTCCTTCATTTCAACTTTGGGGAATCTGACAATTATGTGTCTTGGAGTTGCTCTTCTCGAGGAGTATCTTTGTGGCGTTCTCTTTATTTCCTGAATTTGAATGTTGGCCTGCCTTGCTAGGTTGGGGAAGTTCTCCTGGATAATATCCTGCAGAGTGTTTTCCAACTTGATTCCATTCTCCCTGTCACTTTCAGGTACACCAATCAGACGTAGATTTGGTCTTTTCACATAGTTCTATATTTCTTGGAGGCTTTGTTCGTTTCTTTTTATTCTTTTTTCTCTAAACTTCTCTTCTCACTTCATTTCATTCATTTGATCTTCAGTCACTGATACCCTTTCTTCCAGTTGATCGAATCAGCTACTGAAGCTTATGCATTCATCACATAGTTCTCGTGCCATGGTTTTCAGCTCCATCAGGTCCTTTAAGGACTTCTCTGCATTGGTTATTCTAGTTAGCCATTCATCTAATCTTTTTTCAAGGTTTTTAACTTCTTTGCGACGGGTTCGAACTCCTCCTTTAGCTTGGAGAAGTTTGATAGTCTGAAGCCTTCTTCTCTCAGCTCATCAAAGTCATTCTCCATCCAGCTTTGTTCCATTGCTGGTGAGGAGCTGCATTCCTTTGGAGGAGGAGAGGCACTCTGGTTTTTAAAATTTTAAGTTTCTCTTTTCTGTCTTTTCCCCATCTTTGTGGTTTTATCTACCTTTGGTCTTTGATGATGGTGACGTACAGATGGGGTTTTGGTGTGGATGTCCTTTCTGTTTGCTGTTTTCTTTCTAACAGTCAGGATCGTCAGCTGTAGGTCTGTTAGAGTTTGCTGGCCACTCCAGACCTCGTTTGCCTGGGTATCAGCAGCAGAGGCTGCAGAACAGTGAATATTGCTGAACAGCAAATGTTGCTTCCTGATTGCTCCTCTGGAAGTTTTGTCTCAGAGGGCTACCCAGCTGTGTGAGGTGTCAGTCTGCCCCTACTGGGGGTGCCTCCCAGTTAGGCTACTCGCGGGTCAGGGACCCACTTAAGGAGGCAGTCTGTCTGTTCTCAGATCTCAAACTCTGTGCTGGGAGAACCACTACTCTCTTCAGAGCTGTCTGACAGAGACATTTAAGTCTGCAGAGGTTTCTGCTCCCTTTTGTTTGGCTATGCCCTGCCCTCAGAGGTGGAGTCTACAGAGGCAGGCAGGCCTCCTTGAGCTGTGGTGGGCTCCACCCAGTTTGAGCTTCCCAGCTGCTTTGTTTACCTACTCAAGCCTCAGCAATGGTGGTCACCCCTCCCCCAGCCTCGCTGCCACCTTGCAGTTCGAGCTCAGACTGCTGTGCTAGCAATGAGCAAGGCTCGGTGGGCGTGGGACCCTCTGAGCCAGGCACGGGATATAATCTCTTGGTGTGCCGTTTGCTAAGACCATTGGAAAAGCGCAGTATTAGGGTGGGAGTGACCCAATTTTCCATGTGCCTTCTGTCACAGCTTTGCTTGGCTAGGAAAGGGAATTCCCTGACCCCTTGTGCTTCCCGGGTGAGGCGATGCCTCACCCTGCTTCGGCTCATGCTTGGTTCGCTGCACCCACTGTCCTGCACCCACTGTCTGACAAGCCCCAGTTAGATGAACCCGGTACCTCAGTTGGAAATGCAGAAATCACCCGTCTTATGCATCACTCATGTTGGGAGCTGTAGACTGGAGCTGTTCCTATTCAGCCATCTTGGAACCCACCCACCGAACTTTTCAGAGTTGATAGTAAATTTGATTTAAGTTATTAACCCAATTATGTATTTTAATAATTTTTATCTATGTTACAATTTTTCTAAATTTTGTACAATAGAATATACTACTTTTATAGTGAAAAATCAGGCTGTGTATTGTATTTTGCTATATGATGCCATATAAAGTATATGATCCCAAAAAACTAGAAGGAAATGTGCAAAATATAATAGTGTTTATCTTGGGATGGTAGAACTTCATGTGATTTTTTATTTCTTTTGTCTCCTACGATGATCATCGGGAAAATTTTAAGAATGCATAAATTTCCTGGATAAATAAGGAAAAATGCCTTTTAAGCTTAATTTTATATTTGCAAATCTTTTGTTTAAATAAACGAGTAAATGTTCTGAACTATTTTATTTCACTTACTGATGTAGGAACACTTAAAAGGAAATCAGATGAAGATCACACTTGTGGAATCAATGTAAAGAAACAAAAAGCACTCTAAAATTCTTTCCTGCTTTATTTAGTAGATGTTTATTAGTTGATATATTTCAATGATTATTTCTCTGAAAACTTACAGATTTTACATCTGAAAGTAGATAAATAAACATAGTCAAACACCAAAGGCATTGCTTCTTTCAGTGCTTCAGGAATTACTTTGTTTAAAAGTAATTTATCAAATACATGAGAAGTCATAATTTCAGTATGACATTTCAAAAGTTTTACCCAAGTATTTTAGTTAGGTATTTTTCTTGCTGTTGTAAAGCACCTACTTCTTCAGTTTTGATCCCACCATTTCAATGCCAATATTTTAGCTCTGAAGAAATATTAAATAGAAATATAATCACAATATATAAACTTGCATTCTACTTGGTTTTCCAACCAGAAAGTATTTTCAGAGCAAACTCCAAAAACCAGATAATTCCTCAACTTTCTGATATGATTTGGCCCTGTGTCCCCACCCAAATTTCACCTTGAATTATAATCCCCATAATACCCACATGTCAAGGGCAGAACCTGGTGGAGGTAATTGAATCATGGGGGAGGTTCCCCCATGTTGCTCTCATAATAATGAGTGAGTCTCACAGATGTGATGGTTTTATAAGTGTCTGCCATTTCCCCTGCTTGGATTTCTCCTTCCTGCTGCCTTGTAAAGAAGGTGCCTTGCTTTCCCTTGGCCTTCTGCCATGATTGCAAATTTCCTGAGGCCTCCCCAGCCATGCTGAACTGTGAGTCAATTAAACCTCTTTCCTTTATAAATTATCCAGTCTCAGGTATGTTTTTATTAGCAGCATGAGAATAGACTAATACAATAGCTTAGTTAACATTTCTAGTTTTTCCTATTTTTATCTTTACTAAACTTATTCTCACATTTTATAATCAAGATTTTAAATTCATCTAACTTGCTTTTATTTATTTTATTTATTTATTCATTTATTTTGAGATGGAGTCTTGCTCTGTTGCCCAGGCTGGAGTGCAGTGGTGCGATCTCAGCTCACTGCAACCTACACTTCCTGGATTTAAGCAATCCTCCCACTTCAGCATCCCAAGTAGCTGGGATTACAAGCATGCACTACCATGCCCGGCTAATTTTTGTGTTTTTAGTAGTGACAGGGTTTCACCATGTTGACCAGACTGGTCTCAAGCTCCTGACCTCAAGTGAACCACCCACCTTGACCTCACAAAGTCCTAGGATTACCGCGCCCCACCTAACTTGCTTTTATACATATAAAATGAACTATTCCATTGTGAAATTTATTTTTTTTTTTTGGCCATCATATCAATGTCATTTTTTTCTGGCCTATATTTTACTTGTTGTTCTGTATATTCTGATGTCTGCCCTAGAAACATCCTTGAAAATACAGTCTTGAACAAAGGCAGTCAGGTGCTTCTTCTCAAAAGATGTAAAGAAATGTGAGCTATGTAGAGAACTCTCTTCTTACAGTAAAGCAAGAGGCAGAGAGGCTGCAGCTATTCCGATAGATTGCTAAACTGTGGAATTAAGGGTGGCATTAATTCTTTTTTTCTCTGCTCTGTTTCCTTCTGTTAGTTCCTTCACTGCTGTTTCTTGCATCTAGCATAATGCCCTAGCACCTAATACAGTGCCCGGCATTGAGGAGCCCTTACTTTTTGAGAGAGTAGAAGGAAGGAAGGAATTCAGTTTCCTATTACTGCCGCAACAAATTACCACAAACTTAGTGGTTTAAAACAACTACAATTCTGTAGTTCAGAAGTTTCACATGGGGCTCTCTCTGCTAAAATTGAGGTGTGAACAGGGCAGCATTCCTTTCTGGAGGCCATAGGAGAAAATCTGTTTCTTTGCCTTTTCAATTGCAGAGGTCACCTGCATCCCTTGACTCGTGGCTCCCCTTCTCTGACTCCAAAGCCAGCAACACAGCAACTCTCTGACCCTGCTTTCAGCGTCATATCTCTTTCTGACTCTCATTTTTGGCCTCTCCCTTCCACTTTTAAGGAATCTTGTGGATACATTGAATCTACCTGGATAATCCAGGATAATCTGTCAACTGATCAGCAACCTTCATTCTGTCTGCAATCTTAATTCCCCTTTGCATGTAACATAACATATTAACAGGTTCCAGGGATTCAGATGCGGAGATCTATGAAGGGACCATTATTATGCCTACCCCCTCACTTTTGAGGGCAGTACCTATTCTGACCAAACAAATCTAGCCAACAAGCAGGTCATACAGTAGCAGGAGAGTAATTTAGGTGAAAGAAATCACTTAGAAGAATGTTATGAGCATGGCGAGCATGCTGAACCTTGCTTAGCCAGTAAATCCAGTAATTATATTGTGATTTTTAAAAACCATAAATTAGAGAAGAGACAAGGGCATAAGCATCAGATCGCCATGCCTTTCTTGGATGTGCAGAAAAGGTTCGGCCTTAACGTAGATCGATGGTTGACAATCCAAAGTGCTGAACAGCCCTACAAGATTCCTGGTCGATGTCATGCTTTTGAAAAAGAATAGATAGAAAGTGCACATGGAATCGGTAGTATCTGGGCAGAGAAAGAGTGCAAGATAGAATATGATGATTTCACAGAGAGTATACTTAGGCAGAAAACGATGAGACATGTGAGTACTATGAGGAAGCAGCAGGATAAGCTGATAAAGGAAAGGAAGTGCACCCCTCCACCTCACCATGTGGGCAAGGGGGAGCCTCAGCCCTGAGCAGAGCAGCTGCTGATGTCTAGGGGCTGATTTCATGTTCTCTGTTCTCCACTGGAAAGGTTGTTTACAGAAAACCTCCTTGTCAAAGTGTGTGAAAATAAAGGATTGCTCCATCCTAAAAAAAAAAAGAAAAAAAAAACACTAAACTGAATGATGCACAAATATGTAAATGATTTTCCATTGTGGTAGAATTATGAATTATTTAAATTGTTAATGTTGTTCTGCATTTATTAACTTTTCTGCAATAATTAGGTTTTGCTTTATAATTATGTTAATTTTTCAGAATTTTAAAACAATCTGCATAGACTGGGGAAGTTACAAACAGAAAAGAAATACATGAAATGACTCATATGAAATTAACATATATAGCTACTCTTCAACATGTGCTGTGTCCACTCAGGGTTAAATGGATTAAGGGCGGTGCAAGATGTGCTTTGTTAAACAGATGCTTGAAGACAGCACGCCCCTTAAGAGTCATCACCACTCCCTAATCTCAAGTACCCAGGGACAAACAAACAGGGCAGAAGGCCGCAGGGACCTCTGCCTAGGAAAACTAGAGACTTTTGTTCTCGTGTTTATCTGCTGACCTTCTCTCCACTATTATCCTATGACCCTGCCAAATCCCCCTCTCAGAGAAACACCCAAGAATGATCAATAAATACAAAAAAAAAAAAAAAAAGAAATTGATATAAATGATAAAGGCTTAATACATAAATTAGATAATAATTTATAAAATTAGAAAATTTAAAAAAGAAGGATAAATTTCACACATAATACCACTACTCCCAACACAATCCCTTTAAGATGTTTGGTATAGTCTTTCCTATTCCAACATAAATGAGATAATAGACATATTAAAAACACTGTAACTGTGGATCATTCTAAAATATAGTAAAATTATCAAGTCATCCCACTACCACATTTAGCACAGGCTGCTAGTAGTATCCTTATTTCTTCTCTGAAGTTCTAGTACAGGTAAATAGAGGGGGCATTAAAATGAAAAAAATTAGACTGGAGTAAATAAGAATTTTTTTTCTGGGCCAGGCACAGTGGCTCATACCTGATCCCAGCACTTTGAGAGGCCGAGGCAGGAGGATCACTTGAGCCCAGGAGTTTGAGAACAGCCTGGGCAACATGGCAAGCCTCTATTTCTACAAAAAAAAAAACAAAACAAAACAAAACAAAAAACAAAAAAAACACAAAAATCAGCTTGGCGTGGTGGTGCGCGCCTGTAATCCCAGCTACTCAGGAGGCTGAGGTGGGAGGATCGCTTGAACTTGGAAGGGTGAGGCTGTAGTGAGCTGTGATTCTGCCACTGCACTCCCGCCTGGGTGATAAAACAAAATCCTGTTTCAAAAAAATAATAAAAATTACTTTTTCTGACAAAGAAATCGTTGAAAGATGGCTTAAAACATGTTCAGAGGACAGGGAAACTCAGCAAACACTGTGCTTCCCAGTGCTTTTGTCTCTGTGTACCAGGTTGAGTTTTAAAGTGATCAGGAAATAACTAGGGCTTCTTATTCAAGAGTGAAAATGAGACTCTTCCCACAGGCTAGAGTCTCTAAAAGTTACCACCCGCAAGTCCCAAGCCACTCTTAACCAGTCAAGAAATACATCCCACTGGCTGATGAGAGTTGGAATTACTTCTTTTGCTAATTGACCTAGTACTTGGCATGCTATTGTAGGGGAGAAAATAGAATTTCTTTTCTTTTTCTTAGGTTCTTCGTTGAGACACTCTCCTGAAGTCAGATTAACAAAAGAAAAATAAGCAGAAGTTTACTAACACTTGTACCCATTACGTGGAAGAGGCCTCAGGGCAAACATTTATCTTTCAAGGTAGTGTTTTAAGGGCCTGCTGAAATGGTATTTTAACAATGGCCCATAAATCCTATGTAGTGACAAGACAAAGAAATGTTAAAAGAAAAACCTTAGCCAAATTAAATTTGGCAGAGTTTAATTGATCAAAGAACAATTCGCAAATCAGGCAGCCTGAGCCAGGGAGACTCCAGTGCAACCATGTGGTGGAAGAAGATTTACAGACAGAAAAGGAAAGTGACATACAGAAAACAGAAGTGCAATAGGAAACAGCTGGGTTGGTTACAGCTTGGCATTTACCTTATTGAACAAGGTTTCAACAGTTGGCCCCCTTGGCCAAAACTCAGTAACTGCACAAGCATAGGCTTTAGTCTGTGTACACCTCCATTTAAGTTATAGTTCGCTATGTACAGAGAAACCTTTAGGCTGAACTTAAAATATGTAGGGAGGCAGCTTCAGGCTAAACATGATGTAATAGAAAAGAGTATGTTCAGGTTTCCAAAAGGCAAAAAAATGTAGGAAGGTAAATTTATGGGAAAAGGAAAGTCTCCTCCTAAATCCTCTGGCACCAGTATCTCTGAGTTCTGTTTCTGAGCTGATAAAGGACCCCATCTTCAGGTGCGAAAGGCAGAGGGGAGGGGCACAGTGTACTCCTGCCTTTCAACCTTAATTTTAGCTCAACAATCCCCAGTGTTTTAGAGAGGAATATTCTGGTTTCCTTCATCACAGATATGTGCCCAGAACATGTAAAATTGGTTTTCTGCCTCTATTTCCCTGTCTAGCACTCCTTTTCCTCACTAGAACAACTGGAGTTCTATCCAAAACCTCAACCTGTAACAGATGGGCTGCATCACTGATATTGTGCCAGCTCCAACCCTAGAATACAGACTCACATCTGCCCAGAACAGCTGAAGCCTTGCCAGAGAAGGCATGATTTTCCAGAAGCACAAAGCCTTTCTTCGGTATGGCTATACATTTTTTTCTGCATGATAAAAGCCATAATTACATGACACAACATTAAAAAATGTAGAAAATAAGGACAAATTTCACACATAATACCACTACACCTAACACAATTCCTTTAAGAAGTTTGGTATAATTATTCTTATAAAGTTGTTAATGTACAGTCATTTTTATAAACATGTAGAGCAAAGTTCCTAGTTTCAGAATAAACTAGGCTCACACTAGAACTCAGACATGTCTGGGCATATCTCAAGGTCTTGCTGAGGCCTGCCAGGGGAGAGAATTGTGAGGTGGAGTGGGGCTCCCAGCTGGGATTCATGCCAGCCACACAGACCCACATATAAGTTCTGGGGAGAGAGGACAGTGAATGGATATGAAAAACTCTTCCCACCAACGAACCAGCAAATGAAAACCTAATTTCATTACTGTTTGAAATCCAGATATCAGAGTTTATCAATAAAGTGATGGAAGAGTGATTTCTACAACTTCAGCAGGAATACAGTCGGACTTCTCCTTTAAGGGCTTAGGGATAGCTTCCTCAGGGCACTAACCCAGAGGAGAAGAAGAGGGCAAGATATAATCAGTGAGATGTCTGAGGTCACGAGAACAAATGAGAAGTCCTCTGGAAATGTGAGGAAATGTCGGAGGCTTTTAAACAGGTTGAGGACAGAGGAATGTTACTGTGAACCTATCATTCCACCTCTAGCCTGGAATGGCTTTATGGAATTCAGGTTCCTTTTGGAGCCTCAAGGAGCAACGTTATATCCTGGTGCATTGTCTGTGTGCTCCAAAGATTGCTTCCTTCCCTAGAATTACAGCTAATTGACATGTTAAAGACAATGGTGGGGACATGGTTAGACTACACTGCAAGCTCCTGGAAGACTGGGACTGTGCTTACCTCATTCTCTATTCCCAACACTTAGCACAGTGCTAGCACGTAAGAGATACTCAGTAAACACATGCTAAATAAATGCCAGATAAATACAGAATGAAGCCCAGTACACCTGATTACAGACGGAACCTTTGGAGGTCACCGATGATTTGGGGAAATCAGTGAACTCTGTGACAAGACTAAAACTGAAGACATCCTGCAGACTGCTCTAAGGTCTTCAGAGGGTAGAAACTGATCAAAAGCCTGAAAACCATTCAAAGCCTTATTGCAGACAATCTGTACAACTGTGATGGAAGGCTATGGGCAGGGGGTGGTAGTTTTAGAATGGTAAAGAGTGATTAGCTCTGAGAACATTAAAAGAAGGAGGCTTTTTGGAACAAGAGTTAGGAACCTAAGAACCAGAAACAGGTCAGAAATTGGGCATGCACAACTGAGGTCATATGAGCCAGAGAAGTAAATTCAAATGCAAAATTTTAGTGGCTTAACATAATAAAAACACTTGCTATTAGGGAGTGCAAATGCATATCACTGTCTCAAGGGTAATTTGGTGACATAGTTATAACCAACTATGTGCCAGACTTTAAATGTATTATCTCATTTGGTTTTCTCAATAATCCTAGTTAAGTATTAATATTAACTCTATCATATAGATAGGGAACTCAGATGAATTAACTAATCCAAGGATGTACAGCTAGTGAAGCTCTGAGTACAGGCAGCTTAGCTTTGGAGGTCAAGATTTGAACCAGGCTCTGATCTCTTTCGATGTAGTAAGAGGTGAGGGCTTTCTGAATGATACTTCTGTTGCTAGGAATTTCTTCTAAGGATAAATAGTCAAACATGTTACTAAAAATATTTTGATTGTAACTTGGATTATAATGGTGAAAAAGTGTAAGCATCCAAAGTGAGGCAGCAAGTCCTAGGTGTAAAGACACCAAGGGTTTTAGAGTAAGTTCTGGGTTAGATCCTGTCTCTGTCACCTACCATGGAACCTTAGACAAGTCACTGACCCACTCTAAGCCTCTTCCATAAAATCAGAATAGTAATATGCCTACCTCACAGGAATTTAAAATAGGAAAATACTGTTTTCTGGAAGCCTCAAGTAAAGATGTGACTGCATGAAGACAATAGCTCTTTGAAAATCTCCAAATTTGGTAACTTAATTATACAAATAAAGAAATGTTTTGCCACTGATACAATCAGCTTAATCTTTAGTGCATTAAAGTTAGGGAAACCCCGAGGGAAATTGTAAAAAGTGAAAATTCTAAAATAATCCACAGCAGCTCCGATGAGACAGTGAGTCTCCAGCCTGCCTCTTTCAAACCTCTGTCTGTGTTTTCCATAGATCAACATTCAATGGTGGTGGAGGAGGTTCTCCTGCTTGCATTTGCTGGGACCAGGCCCTTTATTGTTCCACTTTAGTTCAAAGATGCAAGGTCACTAAGCACGCTTCTTTTTTGTATCAGTTTTAGAAATTATTTTATCTTGTTCTACATCACTTTAACATTCATGTAATTGTTGAAATTTTACCACCCAAGGCATAAAAGGAAATATCAAATAACCTTGAAGCAGGAATTTTTTAGATGCATGAGTGGCTTTGAATCCCAGCTCTCTTACAGTGGTCCACAAAGGGAAACATTTAGTCCTTTATGTACTTCTGGAACAGAATGAAGGAGGGTGCCTTAAAACTTTTATCTTTACTGTAACAATTTCTTACTATTGTATTGCCTTTCTTTTCAATTTAAAAGGATAATAAGAGAAATAGTTACAGGGAAAGTAGGTTTCAGTTTCAATATTTTGAACAAAACAATCTATTGAGTCTTTGACATTTTTTAGAAAACTCACCCGCAGGGAAAAAAAGTTTGCTGCTGCTTTTTTTTTTTTTTTTTTTTTTTTTAAATAGAGACAGGGTCTTACTCTGTTGTCTAAAGCGGAGTGCAGTGGCACAGTCACACAGTCACACAGTCACACAGTTACAGGTCTCACTGTGATTTCAAACTCCTGAGCTGAAGCTATTCTCCTGCCTTGACCTCCCAAAACACTGGGATTACAGGAGGGAGCTGCCTGGCCTGCTGCTTCTTAAGTCTCATTTTAAAAAACTTTAAAAACAAGGACATTCATGAGAATTATCTGATGATTCCTGCAATATAGTGAGATTCATTTAAGGTCAGAGCACCAGTAAAAAAAAATTTGCTGCCTGGAGGAAACACAGACCCTAGATTAGATGGTCCTGATGATCTATTACACTGGCAATAAATAGCATGTCAGAATAGGCGCTATGTTCTGGAATATACTACTCATTTTTTGAATTTTTAAAACAATATTTTAAGCAAGGATTCTGCTTCCATAATCTTTGGATTCTGATAATCCAAAAAAAGGATTTAAACCCCTTTTTTGATCCCAATCCAGATTTTACTCATGGCCAGAGCCACCTGGTTTCTGGCTGAGGATAGCTGGTGGAAGATGAGAGGGGCACACGTTGCACAAAGGAGTGTGCTGACTATGCTTGAACACACAGAAGACAGAGAGAGAAAAGTGCTCGGTATGCAATATGTAGAATGATTTTGCACATCTAATTTTTGCTATTCAGGAGTACTACTTAGAAGAAAAATACTACCGTTAATCAGCATCCAGTCAGAAAAATAGAGCCCTCACAAGGTAGTTCAATAGAGGTAATTTAGTATAGAGACCTGTTACAAAGGTCCTGAAATCTGGGGCCAGCATGATTGTCTGTCAACAGAATCTTTACCCCCAGGCTGTTTCTTTCATTTAAAAAAGAATGAGGTAAATAAAAATTTTCTTTTCAGTTGCTTTCTTCTTAGAAATTTTATTCTTCGTATAGATTCATTAAAATGTAGTTTATACATTTATATATAGTTTTAGTATAGTTACTGTAAATCCTTTTCTTACTTTTCCTATGCAACTCATACTCAGAAAAGTATGGGTTGCATTTATTACTATTACTCAGAAAAGTGTGTTTAAAATTGTAAAATCAATAATGTTCATTTTAGAAATCTAAAAAATATAGAGAAAAAGCTTTAAACTACCAGTTATTTTATCACCTAGAAATAACACTTGAAATTTTTTCGTTTAAAAGCTTCTAGAAAAATCTGTATGGAATCAGATATGCTTGTCACCAGCTTTTTTTCCTTTTCTTTTGCAGTAAACATACTTTGTTTTCTTCCTTCTTCATTACGTATTCGTCAGAAGCATTCTCTTTAGTGGCTTTTTCAATATATTCTAAGTCTAAATTTTTTTCTTATTTTCCTACCAGTGGACGTTAAGTTTCTTTTCAACTCTTCATTATTTCAAATTGTGCTTCAATATTGCATTGCAATATTGCATTGAAGCAGGATTTGAGTAACACCTACGCTGGAGTGCGGTGGCACAGTCACAGCTGACTGTAGCCTCGACCTCCCAGGCTCAAGCAACCTCACAGCTCACTGTAGCCTCAACCTCCCACCTCAGACTCCTGAGTAGCTGGAACTACAGGAGCACACCACCATACCTAGCTAAATTTTTGTGTTTTTTGTAGAGACGGGGTTTTTGCCATGTTGGCAAGACTGCTCTTGAACTCCTAGGCTCAAACGATTCACCCAGCTCAGCCTCCCAAAGCACTGGTGTGTCCAGAATTTATTCCTTCTTGTGGGTTCTTGGTCTCACTGACTTCAAGAACGAAGCCGCGGACCCTCGCGGTGAGTGTTACAGCTCTTAAAGATGGTGGGTCCGGAGTTTGTTCCTTTAGATGTTCAGATGTGTCCAGAGTTTCCTCCTTCTGGTGGGTTCGTGGTGTCGCTGACTTGAGGAGTGAAGCTGCAGACCTTCTCAGTGAGTGTTACAGCTCATAAAGGTAGTGCGGACCCAAAGAGTGAGCAGCAGCAAGATTTATTGTGAAGAGCAAAAGGACAAAGCTTCCACAGCATGGAAGAGGACAGGAGCAGGTTGCAGCTGCTGGCTAGGGTGGTCCGCTTTTATTCCTTATTTGGCCCCACCCCCATCCTGCTGATGGGTCCATTTTACAGAGCGCTGATGGGTCCATTTTACAGAGTGCTGATTGGTCCATTTTACAGAGTGCTGATTGGTGCGTTTACAATCCTTTAGCTAGACACAGAGTGCTGATTGGTGCGTTTTTACAGAGTGCTGATTGGTGCATTTACAATCCCTTTGCTAGACACAGAGTGCTGATTGGTGCATTTACAATCCTTTAGCTAGACAGAAAAGTTCTCCAAGTCACCATTCTACCCAGGCAGTCCAGCTGGCTTCACCTATCACTGGGACTACAGGGTGTGAGCCACCGTGCCCAGCCTGTAATATTCTTATAAATAAACTTTATTTTTCCTTTTTGATTATTTCCAAGCCAAAAACAAACAAACAAACAAAAAAAACTTACTCTCTTTTTGCCTCTCTTCTTAATTAGATTTGTGAAAAGAGAAAAAAATCAGCTTCAATCATGATTTAATATGAGTAGTGTTAAATAACATGATTTCTCAAAAATAGGGGAATAAGCAATATAAAAAGCAATTAGACATAACGAATGATCCCAGCAACCTCTAAAGACTTAAAATATCCCTAAGTCCCCTCGACAGTCTCTTTCTTTTTTTCTCTCTGTCTGTTTTCCTCTAAATGACCTCAATCTTTTTCAGTATTATCCCTTAGGAAAAAAATCTGATTCTTTTGTATAGATACTCCATTTGTTTAAAGACTGTAATCAGAAACAATATTATTTTCTACTATTTCTTCAATTGTTATTAACAGCATTTCAGGTAAATAATAAACTTGGATATACATCCTTATACTTAATATTGTTTCTATGGGAAAATGTTCATAGATTCAAATACGTATTTACAAATGAACTTTTAAAAACACAATTTGCTTATAAATAAAAGATTTTCAGTATCTCAAAAATTAAACCATATTCACTTAGCCTCATATTTCATAATTCTTATATTGCCAAATAACACCGTGCTTAGATATATAATTAATCATCAGGTCAAATATTAATATTTTCTTTTTGTTTTAGCTCTTTTTTTGGAGACAGAGTCTAACTCTGTCACCCAGGCTGGAGTGCAGCGGTGCGAACATGGCTCAGTGCAGCCTCAACCTCCTGGGATCAAGCAATCATCCCACCTTACCCTCCTAAGTAGCTGGGAGCACAGGTATGTACTACCATGCCCAGCTAATTTTTTTTATTTTTTATTTTTTGTAGAGATGGGGTCTTGCTATGTTGCCCAGGCTGGTCTTGAACTCCTGGGTTCAAGCAGTCCTCTAGACTTGGCCTCCCAAAGTGCTGGGATTACAGGCATTGAGCCAATGTACCCAGCCCTTTTTTTTGCTTTTTTTGAGATAGCGAGATAGGGTCTCACTCTGTTATCCAGGCTGGAGTACAGTGATGTAGTCATAGCTCACTACAGCCTGGAATTCCTAGGCTCAAGTGATCCTCCTGCCTCAGTCTCCCAAGTAGCTGGGATTACAGACATATACCACCACACCTGGCTGAATACTGTCTTTTCTAAAAGATTTGTGTGTGTGCATGTATTATATATTAGATATGGTAGAATCTTTGTAGGACCAGGGCATTGGAATTATTAGCATGACCCTTAAATTACATTGATCTCCAAAATGAGATTATAAACCATAAGAGTGAAGATCCTGGACAAGCTATATAAAATAGCAGTCACCTCTGTTGCTTGCTGTCCCTTTGCCCGGCTTTATTTTTCTTCATAACATTTATCACCACCTGGCTTATATGTATATGTTTTCATATTTATTGTATGCATATTTCACTAAACTCTAAGTACCATGAGAGCAGGACATTTATTTCATTCTCTGCTTTATTCACTCCCTGGTACATAGAAGGTGCTCAATAAATGTGTCTTATTTGGCCAGGTGCAGTGGCTAACGCCTGTAATCCCAGCATTTTGGGAGGCCGAGGCAGGCAGATCAACTGAGGTCAGGAGTTTGAGACCAGCCTGGCCAACATGGTGAAACCCCATCTGTACTAAAAATACAAAAATTAGCCAGCGTGGTGCTGCGTGCCTGTAGTCCCAGCTACTTGGGAGGCTGAGGCAGGAGAATTGCTTGAACCCAGGAGGCAGAGGTTGCGGTGAGCTGAGATCATGACACTGCACTCCAGCCTGGGTGACAGAGTGAGACTCTGTCTCAAAAAAAAAAAAAAAAAAAAATTAAAAAAATTAAAAATGTGTCTAATTTGAATGAGTGAATATTACTTGAATAAACAGTGAAGATTCTTTGTTTTCAGATTTAATAGAACAGAAATAACGTATAATAAAATACTGAAAAATTTGTAAATAAGCCAAGTTTTGAAAACTTTCAAGTGTCATGTTTTTATTATCCTTTGAAAATTTTAATGTGTCAATTCCGTGGCTAAATCTGTGCAGGAAAGAAATATGAATCTCAGGGAAAAAAATGTCTTTTTTTTCCCAAGTAGATTAAAGAGTTTTGCCTTAAAAATATGCGGTAAACTAACTCTCTGAACCAAGTAGCATTGCTAATGATTTCAAAATGTGGTTGCCCTGACCTTCATGGAAAGTCACAAACCTGTTTTTCATTTAACACAGACTTCATTTGCTAAATTTTTAATAAGTAAATTAAACCTCCCACATCATAAAAATTACCCTTGGATAGTGAATAATATGTAATCTAAATTTTTGAAAACTAAGAATTCTCAGCAATTCAAAGATAAACTGTTCAGTTTCTTTTTTAGAGGGGCAAGTCTACAAATAAATAATGAGGGCCGGGTGCGGTGGCTCATGCCTGTAATCCCAGAGTGCTGCCCCAGCACTCTGGGATTACAGGCATGAGCCACCGCACCCGGCCAGGAATGGGATGGATTCTAAACAAATGTTTATTAAAACCCACAACTGTGTTCACTTTTGGTACTGGACCTCCAAAGCAGAGTAATTGAATATACAATCACAGAATTTTTTTTTCATTTATAAAAGGAACTACAAGTTAGATTGTAAACAATAGGCAAAGAATCGTTAACATTAGTCATCCTTACAACCAAAGCCTTGCTTTCTGATTCACTAGGAGGTGAACCAGTTAATATACCAATGCCCTGCACTTTTTTATTATATCTCTTTTCTCCACGTGTCTTTTTCACTCTAGCCTTCCCTTTTCAGACCCCTTCCCTCCTGTCACAACACAGTCAAACTACATACTATACACATACCAAGCTGTGTCTTTGGTATAAAGCTATTGTATGCCTAAAGTTTAATGTTGGTATGTTGCCTTTACTAAAGGACCTAGGCATAATTATCTCATTAGCACAATTACAGCAATAGCCACACATTATCACAGAAGGTCATATGGAAAAAAGTTATTCCCTTTTCCTTCTCTAAAATACTTCCCTGTAAAGAAAGCAATTACTTTACTTTTGTCATCTCCTGCAAGTATAAAGAATATTTTTTTTTATTTAGTTTGGCCTCTGGAATCACATAGATAGGTATTTATATCAAAGTCTAGAAAAACTGTCAAGAATGTTGCCTTAGTAATCCCAATGCTTGCAAATCTATCATTAGAAAATATTCCAAAATATGGGAAAGTATGAATGTGATTATTGTTACAAGTAACACAATTAATTCTGGCAAAATTCAGCAAATTGTATTTGTAGAAAAGATAACAGAGAAGTCACAAAATTAATGAAACATTTCTAAAACAGGTTCAAGATTGAACAGGAGTTAAAATATAGCTCTAGTGTAGATCGTCCAGGCTACAGAAATCCCTAAAATCTCTTGTCAATATGCTGCTACTGGAATTAGCTCCAACTGCTTTTTCTGTCTTGGTTTCACTGAGCTTAAGATTAAAAACCCAGAAGACTGATTGACTTTGTGTTTTAAAGCAACGAACACTCCAAAATACAGTGGATCAAAAATAAATATAAATTTATTTATCTCTCATGTAACACTCCACATTATAGTTCAAGGCAGATAATCTGTCCCACAATGTCATTCAAAGACCACGTGGTCCCTTTTGTTTCATTGTACTGTTATCCCTTAGGGACTGTCGACTAGCCAGATAACTACAGACGGCTCACATGAAACGAGGATACAGAGCTTAGTGGATAAGCAGCTTAATTCTTTTAAAAGATGCTGCCATCTAGAAGTTGAATATAATATTTCTGTTCATTTCCCGTTTGCTGAATGCTAGACACACATACACAGATCTGAAAGTAAAGTTAGAAATGTGGTCTCCAAACTAAAACTTGAAAATATTCTACTGCTAAAAAATGGAAGAGGAGAGTGAATGCTGGGGACCAGAGCAAAGACTAGGATGAAGCAAGTATATTGCCTAAGGTGCAAAATTTAAGGAGACACTTGCAGAGATAAGGTTTGTTTCTGTGTCCCCACCCAAATCTCATCTTGAATTGTAATCCCCACGTGACAAGGGAGGGACCTGGTGGGAGGTGATTGGATTATGGGGGCAGTTTACCCCATGCTGTGCTTGTGATAGTGAATGAAGTCTTATGAGATCTGGTGGTTTTAAAAAGTGTTTGGCAGATCCCCACCGCTCTGTTCTCTCCTGCTGCCATGTAAGACATGCCTTGCTTTCCCTACACCTTCTGCCATGATTGTAAGTTTCCTGAGGCCTCCCCAGCCATGCAGAACTGTGAGTCAATTAAACCTCTTTCCTTTATAAATTACCCAGTCTTGGGTATTTCTTTATAGCAGTGTGAAAATAGGCTAATACTGGCTGGGTGTGATGGGTGCTGTAATCCCAGCACTTTGGGAGGCTGAGGTGGGCAGATCATTTGAGGTCAGGAGTTTGAGACCAGCCTGGGCAACATGGTGAAAACCCATCTCTACTAAAAATACAAAAATTAACAAGTCATGCTGTTGCACACCTGTAATCCCAGCTATTCGGGAGGCTGAGGCAGGAAAATGGCTTGAACTTGGGAGGTGGAGGTTGCAGTGAGCCGAGATGGTGCCACTGCACTCCAGCCTGGGTGACAGAGTGAGACTCTGTCTCAAAAAAAAAAAAAAGATTAATACACTCAATGTTATATAAATACATGTGCTACTTAAATTTTGCACCCTAAGAACTTCACTTGCCTTAACCTAGTTCTGGTCCTGCTCTGCCACCCCTAGCTTAGATTACATAGGAGCACAAAATAGCTTAATTTACCAAGAGTGCATACATTGGGGAAGAAATGGTTCACCAAAAAGAAGTTGGAATACAATTGGTGAAAATAGGCTGAATATATGGTGTGTGGCCTGAAAAAAAATATCCATTACAAACATGAAGATGGCTGTGATATATTGCCAAATTCCCACAACCTTTTATAGCCCCTGTATCCACATCCTTTGTCATGTAAATTTTCAGCTCCCTCCCTTTGGATCAGGGTTATATGTTTGATGAGCTTTGACTAACAGAATGCAATTGGAATAGAACAATATTGGGAAAATCTTATTTGTTTTAAAACTTCATTCAAAACTACTCCCATGAAAAGGCAAACTGAGTATTATGTTAGCTGTGGGTTTTTCATATATAGTTTTTACATGGAGGTGGTTTTATTTCTGGTTTGTTGTACATTTTTATCATGAAAGGGTATTACATTTTGTAAAATGCTTTTTTCTGCATCAATTAAGATGATCATGTGGGTTTTCTCCTTCGTTCTGTTAATGTTAATTAATGTTAAATAATTAATGTTAATTAATTATGTTAATATTATGTTAATTAATTCTCATATGTTGAACCATCCTTGCATTCTAGGAATAAATTCTACTTGGTCATGGTGTATAATCCTTTTAATATGCTGTTGAATTCTGTTTGCTAGTATTTTGTTGATAATTTTTGCATCAGTGTTCATAAGGGATATTGGTCTGCACTTTTCTTGTAGTTTTTGTCTGGCTTTGGTATTAGAGGGTTGTTGGCCTCATAGAATGAGTTAGAAGATGTTTCTTTAGTTTTTTTGGAAGAGCTGAAGAAGGATTGTTGTTGATTCTTCTTTAAATGTTTGATAGAATTTGCCAGTGGAGGTGGCAAACTTCAGGTTCAGGGCTTTTTTTGTTGTTGTTGGGTGGTTTTTGATTACTAATTCAATCTTCTTACTAGTGATGAGTCTATTCAGATTTTCTATTTCTTTGTGTTTCAGTCTTCGTGTTTCATTCTTTTATAATCTCTTTATTTCTATAAAATTGGTATGCCTCCATTTTCATTTCTGATTTTAGTAATTTGATTCTTCTCTGTTTTTTTCTTTGTCACTCTAATCATTTGTCATTTTGTTAATCTTTTTGAAGAAACAACTTTGGGTTTTATTTATTTTCTCTATTGTCTTTCTATATTCTTATTTTATTTATTTATTTATGCTTATTTGTTTGTTTATTTGAGACAGGGTCTTGCTCTGTCACCCAGGCTGGAGTACAGTGGCATGATCATGGTTCACTGCAGCCTCGACCTTTTGGGCTCAACCGATCCTCCCACCTTAGCCTCCCAAGAAGCTGGGATCACAAGTATGTGCCACCACACCCAATACCCAGCTAATTTTTATTTACTTATTTCTTTATAGAGACAGGGGTCTATGTTGCCCAGGCTGGTCTCAAACTCCTGGGTTCAAGCAATCCTCCCACCTCAGCCTCCTAAAGTGTTGGGATTAAGCATGACACATCATTCCTGGCCTATTCTATTTTATTATCTCTGTTTTAATCAGTATTACTTCTTTCTTTTACTGTTTCTTGAGTGGGCCAACTTTATCCCCTACCTTTACATTAGCTTTCACCTTTGCTTGGGGTGTTCTTTAACAGCTATTTTCTAGTTGGCTTGTTCCTTCCTTTCTCTCTCTCTTTCTTTCTTTCTTTCTTTCTTTCTTTCTTTCTTTCTTTCTTTCTTTCTCTTTCTCTCTTTCTTTGACAGTGTTTCACTCTGTCATCCAGGCTGGAGTGCAGTAGCATAATCATAGCTCACTTTAACTTTAAACTCCTGGGCACAAGTGGTCCTCCTACCTCAGCCTCCCGAGTAGCTAGGACTACAGGTTTGCACCACCATGCCCGGCTTATTTATTTATTTATTGAGACAGAGTTTCGCTCTTTTTACCCAGGCTGGAGTGCAATGGCGTGATCTTGGCTCACTGCAACCTCCGCCTCCCGGGTTCAACTGATTCTCCTGCCTCAGCCTCCCCAGTAGCTGGAATTACAGGCATGCACCACCACACCCAGCTAATTTAGTATTTTTAGTATACATGGGGTTTTTCCATGTTGATCAGGCTGGTCTCGAACTCCCAACCTCAGGTGATCCACCTGCCTCGGCCTCCCAAATTGCTGGGATTACAGGCATGAGTGACCATGCCCAGCCCAATTATTTATGTATTTATTTATTTATTTTGTAGAGACAGGGGTCTCACTATGTTACCCAGCTGGTTTTGAACTCCTGGCCTCAAGTGATCCTCTCACCTCCGCCTCTTAAAGTGCTGGGATTACAGTCATTCTTTTCTTTAGTATTCAGTTCCTCAGGAAACCTTTATTTTCCACACTAGAGTAGCCTGCAGTTATTCTCCATCACCCTTTTATTCCTCAGAGCTTTTATTACTTTGTGATTCCATTAGCCCATTTTGCATCACTATAAAGGAATACCTTAGACTGGGTAATTTATAAAAAGAAGTTTATTTGGCTCACAGTTCTGCGGGCTGTACAAGCATGGCATGTGCTCAGCTTCTGGCAAAGCTTCAGGAAGCTTGCGATCATGGCAGAAGGCAAACGGGCAGCCAGTGTATCACATGGCAAGAGAGGGAGCAAGAGAGAGAGGAGGAGATGCCAGGCTCTTTTAAACAACCAGCTCTCGTGTGAACTAATAGAATGTGAAATCACTAATTACCATGGGGAAGGCACCAAGCCATTCATAAGAGATCCACCCCCATGACCCAAACACCTTCCAGTAGGCTCCAGCAGCAACATTGGGGAACACATTTCAACATGATATTTGGAGGGGACAAGCATCGAAACAATGTCAGTGATATTTTCTTATTTCATTTTGTTTGCTCCCTATGACTACTACATGCATGTACACACACACAAACGTGTGCATGCACACATATTAGAATGTAAGCTCTGTAATAACAGGAACCTTCTCTGTCTGGTTCAACCACTGCATCCCAACTGCCTAGAACAGTCCCTGGTTCAAAAATAAAAGATGCTCAATAAATATTTGTTGATTCCTCTAAGATGTTGCAAAGGCTATTATTGTGAAAAAGAGATGATTGGCTGAAAAATGTATTACACCTTGCTCCAAGGAGATTACTGAGAAAGAAGTAGTTTTAGATTTTAAGATGAGGCTAGATGCAGTATCTTATGCCTTTAATTCAAGCACTTTGGGAGCCTGAGGTGGGAGGATCACCTGAGGCCAGGAATTGAAGACCAGTCTGGGCAACATAGTGAAACCTCATCTCTACAATTTTTTTTTTCAATTTAGCTGGGTGTGGTGGTGTGCACCTGTAGTCCTAGCTACTTGGGAGGCTGAGACTAGATGATCAATTGAGCCCAGGAGTTGAAGGTTACAGTGAGCACGATTGTGTCAGTGTACTCCATCCTGGGTGACAAAGCAAGACTCTGTCTCTAAAAAAGAAAGAGAGAGAGACAGAAAGAAAGAGACAGAGAGAGAAAGAAAGAGAGAGAAAGAAAGGAAGGAAGGAAGGAAGGAAAGAGGGAAGGAAGGAGAAAGAAAAGAGAAAAGAAAAAGGAAGGAAGGAAGGAAGGAACGAAGAAAGGAAGGGGAAGGGAAGGAAGAAAGGAAGGGAGAGAAAGAGAAAGAGAAAAGAAATTTTAAGATGTTAGTAATCAAAATAATTACTAATATGCCTTAGTAATATAATAATTACTGTGTTATAGGGCATCTTTAGAATCAGCATCTACTTATTTATAGATTCTTCCATTCATTTTTGAGGCTAATGGATTTTGGACTACAAATATACACTACTCATTTAAGGAGGTCAGTATGTGGCACTAAAATGAGCATCAAACTGAGAGTTTGATATGTTAGTTTGTAGCCCCATCTTTGCTACAATATAATTGTATGATTTTGATTAGAATTATTTAACTTGGGCCGGGTGCAGTGGCTCATGCCTGTAATCCCAGCACTTTGGGAGGCCGAGGCGGGTGGATCACTTGAGGTCAGGAGTTTGAGACCAGCCTGGCCGTCATGGCGAAACCCCATCTGTACTAAAAATACAAAAAATTAGCTGAGTGTGGCGGCATGCACTTGTAATCCCAGCTACTTGGGAGGCTGAGGCAGGAGAATTGCTTGAACCCAGGAGGCAGTGGTTGCAGTGAGCTAAGATCGTGCCACTGCACTCCAGCCTGGGTGACAGAGTATGACTCTGTCTCAAAAAAAAAAAAATTATTTAACTTATCTGTACCTTGGTTTCCTCATTTGTAAAATGAGGATATTAAATTAGATTAGTCAACAAGTACCTTCTAGCAATCTAATCTATAATTTCATAATTTATAGCTCAATTTTATGGGTTTGAGATAAATTTTTTAATTGTTAGATATTCATAATACATTTCTATATTTTTAAATGCCAAGTTCTTTGATGAGTCATTAATAATCCACTTATAATATTGTATCTACCAATTGGAACACAGTCTGCTTCACACATTTCCACTTTATAATGGCATTTCCAGAACTGAACTTCATTAAGTCTTTCCTACCCTAGGCAAGATGAGTAGTTGACTCTCATTAAATGTTTGTTGTATTTTTATCTTGAGTCTACCAACAGGAGAGCAAAGATAGTACAGCATGATCAATTTTTAAGAAAAAATAAATAAATAAAACTGGACCTAGGCCAGGCATGGTGGCTCACACCTGTAATCCCAGGACTTTGGGAGGCCAAGGTGAGAGGAACTCAAGGATCTCTGGACTCTAGGAGTTTGAGACCAGTCTGGGCAATGAGACTCCTGTCTCTATTTTTAAAAAATTAATAAATTAATTATTTTTAAAAAATAAAAAAACTAGACCTAGTGAAATAAAAGGAAATGAGTTAAAAGGATAAATCATTAACTTCGTAATTTAAAACTGCTAGGTTTTTTTTAAATTTTTATTTATTTTTTCACAGAATCTCACTTTGTAGCCCAGGCTGGAGTGCCCTGGCACAATCTAGGTTCACTGCAACCTCTGCCTCACAGGTTCAAGCCATTTTCCTGCCTCAGCCTCCGGAGTAGCTGGGATTACAGGCGCTTGTCACCCAAACTGGATAATTTCTGTATTTTTAGTAGAGATGGGTTTTCTCCATGTTTGCCAGGCTGGTCTCAAACTCCTGATCTCATGCTGGTCTCAAACTCCCACCTCGGCTTCCCAAAGTGCTGGGATTATAGGTGTGAGCCACCGCACCTGGCCAGAACTGCTGTTTTTATTTAGCAGCCAACAAAGTGTCTAAAATCTAGAAATCAACCTCATTGCTTGTGCTGAATGTTGTCAGTAATCCTGCTGCTACTTATGGATTGGATGTAATTGATTACATTACAAAAGTACATAAATAACACTAAATCAAGGAGTTGCATTTTAATATAACAACTAAAATAATATAATAATAGGTTAAGGAGAAAAATAAGTATTTTCAGACTCTATGATATTGATAAAATAAGTGGTAATTGCATTTCAATATAAAAGACATTAATCTAAATATAAAGAGTAACATCGAGAGGACAATACTGATGCTTCACTTAACCTTTTAAGATCTTAAATGTAAACAACTGTCATACATTGGAAGAAATAGATCTTAGCACGTGAGGTAACTTTACTTTCCAAGCTTCCTGACTCATCACTGGAGGACCCGTCACATTTGTGTTGAGATACACAGTGTGCACAGACACATAAATAAAAATATTTTTGGTACATTTAGAGTACAAAAAAGCTTCTGGGCTATAACAAAAAGAACATTTCATGTCTTCAGAGTTTGAAAGTGGGAAAGACTAGCTATAAAAACCCAATAGGCAGCTCTGCTCATTAAGAAAATTGTGGGTTATAACCGTATAAGGTAAAGTTTTTATTTATTTCCAGTTAAGTTGCCATTTAGGGACACTTGTACGATTGCAAAATGCCTTCTGAGGATATAATCTATTTGATTTGTTACCATTTCTTTATAGGAATAGAGATAACATAAAGGAGTCTCCGAAGAGGTATTAGAGACTTTAGTACTGGCCAACCATTTAGCATGTTTCTAATTATCCTTTTTGTCTCCTCTGTACTTAGACCATTTAACTAATTTAGAATCCTCATTGAAACATCCTCTGCTACGAACCATTTGTGGAAAGACTTACTCTATACAATCCATTTTGTATTATATAATGAAAGGGCTGAGCAGAAGGGATTTGTTAGGCATAATTTATATCTACTGCACAGTCAAACCTTAATTATTTAGTGGCTACCTGTCCTGTTTGGGGATTATACAAGCATTTGGCCTTTACTTTGTCTCACTGTGGCTATTTAGCTATTTCACTAATCACTGATACATCTGCCAAGAGTAGTTTGGAGATAGAGGAAAGCAGGGGATCATGTTGTCCATCATTTTGCTATTTATTAGAGGATTTAATAAAATCTTTGAGGAAAGAGGGGACTTAAGTGCCTGTGTAAAGTGACTGTCAGTGGATTTTAATGTTTCCGTTAGCTGTATTAGTCTATATATTAGTCTCTCTCTCCCAAGGACAATTAAAAGTTGTCTGTATATGTTTTTAAAACCTTAAAATACGGATAAGAACATGGTTATGCATATTAGCATTTTAAATATATTATCCTACAAAAAAGTTATATCAAATTGCACTCCCATAAATGGTATGTGAGAGTGCCTTTCCCCTTTAAATTTCTCCAAACAACACTGTAGCCCAGTGCAATGGCTCACGCCTGTAGTGGCAACACTTTGGGAGGCCAGGAGTTTGAGACCAGTCTGGCCAACATAGGGAGACCAGTGTACACACACACACACACACACACACAAAAGAAATAGCTGAATGTGATGGTGTGTGCCTGTGGTCCCAGCTACTTGAGAGGCTGACGTGGGAGGATTGTTTGAGCCCAAGAGGCTGAGGCTGCAGTGAGCCATGATCACCCCACTGCGCTCCAGCCTGGGCAACAGAACAAGACTTTGTCTCACAAACAAAAACAAAAAAAACCAACACTGAATTTTTTTCCTCAACAGAGTAGGTGAAAAATTATCTTTAACTGTTGTGCATTTTATCTTTCAGATACATAAATGCCCAAAGACATTTTCATTTCAAGAAATAATAAAATCCACAGAGAAGTTTAAGGGGGAAGGTTAAAGGGAGAGGGATATTAAATAAGGAAAATTATTTTTAATATAATAAAATGTTTCCTTTAAATTGCATTTTATATTAAAACTTCTTTCAGAAGTAGAAAAATCAAATGAAGAATTTTAATTTCACATTACAAATATTTAATATTAACATATAACCTGATATTGCTATATTGTTACTTCAATATAAAATACCACTATGAGCTAATCCAGCAAAATCATTATGTAAACTAACTGGAAAATTAGATAAGGGGTAGCATCTCCTGTTATAAAATGAGTGAAAGGAATATATCAAAAGGAATATATTAAAAATTTACTTACTTTCATACTATGACCAGCATTTTCTCTTGCTATCCAAACCCCTTTTTGATTAATCATTTCCTTCTTATAATCATTTATAATAGAGAATATTTGGAAATGGTCAAAATCTTCAACAATGGGGGAGTATAATTAAATATTGTGCAGCCAAAATGGAAATTTCAAAGAAATGTTAATGGCAAGGAAAATACTCTGCAATGACATAATGAGTGAAAAAGTCAGAGAACAGAACTGAAAATTCCATGTGACTTCCATTTAGTACTCCCATCTCCCAAAGGTAGAGAGCAAGAGAAGAGAAGGGAGAGGAAGGGAGAGGAAAGAAAGAACATATATAAGTGTTAACAATAGTTATCTCTGGACTATGACATATGAGAATTTTAATTTTCTAAGCTTTATTTCTGATGTTTTTATTAACAAAATTTACGCTACATTCAATGTGTATTTTTAATGTCTGTATTCATGCACCTATCAGCATACACTACAGCAATTTCATCATGTCACATCTTCCATAAAAATGGGATTTCCTTGGGGAAGGGTCTTGTTTATTTGTATTTCCAGCACATAGTGCTTAACAAATCCTTCTTAAACGCAAAACCTCAAGAAACATTGAAAATAACCTCACAATACAATGAACTTCCAACTATCAGGGTACTCATCCCCTAGATTTTCCAAGTATTAACACTTGTCAGATTTATTATCTGTTTATCATTGCTGATGTCATGACACATCACCTCTCGAGAACAAAAATACTATTCTACATAAATATAATATTGTCACAAGCTATACAGTTAATACTATGTAATACTATTATGTTATGTTCAAATGTCCCCAATTGTCTAAATAATAGCATTGACATTTATAGCTTTTTAAAAAAAAATCCAGGGCAAAACAAGGACCAGACAGGCATTGCATTTAGATCATGAGTTTTTCTAGCTTTTATTCTAGGAGTGTTCTGTTTTTGTTCTTGTTACTTTTCTTTGACTTCCATGAGACTGACATTTTTGAAACATTTGGGCCAGGTGTTTGATAGAATGTCCCACAGTTTCAGTTTGTCTGATTGTTTCCTCATGATTAGAATCAGTTGAAATATTTTTGCCAAAAATATTACAATGATGATATAATGTCTTTCTCAAATGACATTACTGGGAAGTACATAATATCATTTTGTCCTATTTATATTCTTATTTTCCTTTAAAAAGTTCATTTATTTATTTTAATTGACAAATAAAAATTGTGTGGTTATGGTATACAACATGATGTTTTGGTATATGCATACATTGTGAAATGGAAAATTCAAGCTATTTAGCATATGAATTACCTCACATACTTATTTTCTTGTGGTGAGAACACAAAATTTACTCTCTTAGCAAATTTCTTATTTATTTATTTATTTATTTATTTTTGAGACGGAATCTTGCTCTGTTGCCCAAGCTGGAGTGCAGTGGTGCAATCTCAGCTCACTGCAAACTCCACCTCCTGGGTTCAAGCAATTCTCCTGCCTCAGCCTCCCAAGTAGCTGGGATTACAGGCATGCACCACCATGCCTGGCTAATTTTTGTATTTTTAGTAGAGAGGGGTTTCACCATGTTGGCCAGGCTGGTCTCGAACTCCTGACCTCAAATGATCTGCCCACCTTGGCCTTCCAAAGGACTGGGATTACAGGTGTGAGCCACCGCTCCCGGCAACACATTTCAAATACACAATATATTGTTATTAACTGCAGTCACCATGATGTGCTATTTTTTATAGGTCTCTTGAATTTATTCCTCCTGTCTAACTGAAATTTTGTGTCCTTTGATCAACATCTCCCTAGTTCCCTTATTCCCAAGTCTGGTAATCACCATTTTACACCTTGTTCTGATGAGGTTTCACTTTTTCATATTTCACAGATGGAATCATATGGCATTTATCTTTCTGAACCTGAATTATTTCACCTAACTTATGTCCTCCAGGTTCATCCATGTTGTCACCAATGACATATATATTTTTTTCTAATATAAGTATTTCAAGTGCTATAATTCCTTTCGACTACCATCATAACTGTATTCTACAAATTTGCATAAGTAAATTCATTTTCATTCAGTCCTAAATATCAGCTTCCATTGTGGTTACCTTTTGAAATCATAAATTATATAGATATGTGTTTTGACATCTCAAACAAAAGTTTCCCCTTTGTTTTTATCACCCAGATCCTCTGATAATATTTCTGAGCCATTTGAGAATAAGTTGCAGATATTATACCATGTTATCTCTTAATATTTCAGTGTTTGTTTCGTGTATACAAGGACAATCTACTACAAAATCACACTAGGACAAGGAAATTAGCATTGTAAATTACCATCTAATCCATAGGCCCCTTTCAAATTTTACCAATCGTCCAGTGATGTCCATCAAAGGTCCTAGATCTAATCCAGGATCACATGACACATTTAGTTGACATGCTTTTTTAGATCCCTTCAGTCTGAAACATTTCCTGTCTTTCTCTTTCATGCTCTTGTTACTTTTGAAGAGTTACTTTGTAGAAAGTCCCCCAAATTGGTTTTGTCTGATTTCTCATGATTTGTGCATTTTTGACAGAAATACCACATAAATGATGTGGTCTCCTCAGTGCATCATATCAAGACCCACAAGGTATCAATTTGTCCTTTATCTGATGATGTTAACTTTGAAAACTTGGTTAAGATGGTGTCTTCCAGTTTTCTCTACTTGAAAATTGGTTAAATATGTTGTCATTATTAATTAATAAGTAATTAACAAAACACTTTGAGGCTATGTGAATATCCTATTCCTCATGATACTTCACTGATATGATTTGGCTATGTCCCCACCCAAATCTCATCTTGAATTGTAGCTCCTATAATCTCCATGTGTTGCAGGAGGGACCTGGTGGGAGGTAATTAAGCCATGGGGGCAGTTTTTCCTGTGCTGTTCTCATGATAGTGAATAAGTCTCATGAGATCTGATAGTTTTATAAAGGGGAGTTCTCCTGTGCATAGTCTTTTACCTGCCACCATGTAAGACATGCCTTTGCTCCTCCTTTGCTTTCCACCATGATTGTCAGGCCTCCCCAGCCATGTGGAACTGTGTGTCAATTAAACCTCTTTCCTTTATAAATTACCCAGTCTTGGGTATGTCTTTATTAGCAGCATGAGAACAGACTAATACATTCACCCATCAGTTTTAGCATTTTTTTTATTATTCTTGCCTGAAGATGGACTGTGACATTCGACAACACTGTTGAGATTATGCTTTGTGCCAGTGAACCTAATTACTTAGTTAACATCATTATAGATTCATGGCTTTCTACTTTACTCAAAGAGTCTTCATCCATTACCATCATTATTTATTTGTTGGTTTGTTTTGGACCTCACTTCCTGGTGCCATCTCTTCTAGTTTCCTCTTCTGCCTCAAGCACATCTCCACTATTCTAGCTGTTGGAGAGCAGCATGAGGCCTCTGTGCTTAAGAGGCTGAAGCCTGCCAGAGCTGCTTGAGGACAGCTGTGGTTTGTCCTTTTAGGGTTATCTGTCCTACCCTGTCATACACCAGCTACTCAGGGAAACTGAAGTCAGATTTCACCTCCTTTATTTTGCTGCTCGAATTGTCTGACCCTTGGCCAGTGAAGCCCCTTCCAACTGGTTTCTGTGTCCTTTTGATATGTCCCCACTATTCTTTGCTCTTTCCTTATTCTTTAGCCCAACAAGGCATGCCTGCTGTATCCCTGGGATCAACCATTTCTCCAAGGACCCCCTTGGAGAAGAACTCCAGGGTTCCTTCTAGTGGAATTATTTCTAGAAAACTAGATCTAGGCACTAGGTATGCTTGTTGCTAAAGTGATTTCTTTACTTCTTGGACTTCTCAGGGTATTGAGTTACAAAATATATGTGTGCACATTTGGACATACAGCTGAATGTACAACCACACATACATATGTTTATTCCTGTTTCTATTTTTTTGGTTGTTTCCTTTGGCTTTTTTGTTTTGTTTTTTTGTTGTTGTTGTTGTTGTTGCTGTTTTTGTTTTTTAAGATAAGGTCTCACTCTGTCACCCAGTGCAGTGGCATGATCACAGCTCACTGCAGACTCGACCTCCTGGCCTCAAACTATCCTCCCAGGCTCAAACGATCCTCCCACCTCAGCCTCCTGAGTAGCTGGGACTGTAAGTGTGCACCGCCACACCTTGTTAATTTTCAAATATTTTGTAGATACAAGGTCTCGTCATGTTGCCCAGGCTGGTCTTGAACTCCTGAGTTCAACAAATCCACCTGCTTTGGCCTTCCAAAGTCCTGGGATTACAGGCATGAGTCACAGTGCCCAACCTTGCTTCTGTTATTTTATCTATTTCTATATCCATATCTATCTATACCTTAAGCTATCCATTTATTTGAAACAATGAGTTTACACAGATATCTCCAGTTCCAATCCAACGGCACAGGATTCATTCCAGCATTTCTTTTTTCTATATTAGTACTCCTTTTTCCTTTGCTCCCATTATTTCCAATTTTCTCTATATGTAAGCAAATTCCTGGGCCTTCCTATTTGAAATATCTCAGCCTGATGAAGAAGGAAGAAGAAAAAAAGGAGGACAACATAGGAAAGAAGAAGGAGAATGGTCCATTTAGAAAGCATAGCTTCAGGCACACCAAGCCTGGCACATGAAGAAAGGCTCTGCCAAGAAAAGATGTATTAGTCTGTTCTCATGCTGCTAAAAAATACATACCTGAAACTGGGTAATTTAACAATGAAAGACGGCCGGGCGCGGTGGCTCACGCCTGTAATCCCAGCACTTTGGGAGGCCGAGGCGGGCGGATCACGAGGTCAGGAGATCGAGACCATCCTGGCTAAAACGGTGAAACCCCGTCTCTACTAAAAATACAAAAAATTAGCCGGGCGTAGTGGCGGGCGCCTGTAGTCACAGCTACTTGGGAGGCTGAGGCAGGAGAATGGCGTGAACCCGGGAGGCGGAGCTTGCAGTGAGCCGAGATCCCGCCACTGCACTCCAGCCTGGGCGACAGAGCGAGACTCCGTCTCAAAAAAAAAAAAAAATAAAAAAAAAAAAAATAAAAAAAAAAAAACAATGAAAGACATTTAATTGACTCGCAGTTCCACATGGCTGGAGAGGCCTCACAATCATAGCAGAAGAGCAAGGGATGTCTTATATTGCGGCAGGCAAGAGAGAGCTTGTGCATGGGAAATCACCTTTATAAAACCATCAGATCTTGTGAGGCTTATTCATTATCACCAGAACAGCACAGGAAAGACCTGCCCCCATGATTCAATTAACTCCCACTGGGTCCCTCCTGTGACACATCGGAATTGTGGGAGCTAGAACTCAAGATGAGATTTGAGTGGGGACACAGCCAAAACATATCAAAGGAGAAGAGGAAGAAAGAATCTCTCCAGTTATTGTTAATATTAATTATTGTCACTTGGTTTAGGTGTCTACTATCTTTTTCCAATTGTAAAGGAAATGTTTATTCCTGAATAGTTTATAATGAATGTGAGATTAATTCTTTGACAGTAAATATCTTGTTCTCCAACAATATTTTAACCACTCAATAGTTTTAGCATCTATTAATGATACTTTCCTGAATGGTATTATGTTGGTGTCTGGAAAATGGTGATTTACTAATTCTATCATCTTTTGTATGTTCGTTATCTAACACTATTCTCTGAAGGGTAGCTTCACTTTCTCCCTTTTTTTCTTTTTTAGTATCACTATAAACTCATGAATTATTTTTATAATCTGGGTATACAAAGAGGAATCACACTCAGAGCCCACACTCCAGTGGTTCGCAGTTTAGTAAAAGAGAAAGATATATACAAGTAATTACAGGAATGTGATAGAACTCACAAGTAATTCAGGAAGAACCAAATTATCTGTAAACACTAACTAGAAAGCCACTTGTTCTGTTCAACATCAATTTCAGAAGTTATTTCCCACCAAATCTTCTAGGTTGAGAATACAGTACTTATTTAATGGCTGTAGTTCCTGTGTACCAATATACTGTCAATAAAAGAGATATCTGAGGGGAGCCCTTAATTTGGTTTGAACAACTGTTATTCTATTTGTGCACCGAGTAACACATTTTGTAACTTTAAATGGACTCAGTGATGTATTTTAAAAAGAATGTGTAGGTCATGGCTAATGTTGTTGCTGTCTGAGAGATGTCTATATTTTATGAGAACAACAGTCCAGAGGATTATCATGTTTTGCATATTTTCCCCCACAAATGTCTCCATTTTTCTGAGAGGCTCATAAGTTCAACTATATTTCATCACCAATCAGGAAACCAGACAAAGCTCAGACTATGAAATCCATTGGCTTTGTTTAGGTTTATTTTAAACCTCAGTGCACTCATATTTTTGCTTTCATTTAGGTTTTCACTAGTGAGTTCACAAAGTACTGTATGCATCTGTTTGAAGATGGGCAGAAATCTTGTGACCATCTCACTGCCTGTAAGTTTCCCTGCATGCAGGTGTCCTAGCGGTGAAGGACAAGTGCCTCAGTTCTGGTTTCACCTTTTAAGATGCAGCACATTATTCAACCTCACCAAACCTCAATATGCTTATGTGAAAATGTCTGTCTTGTAGAGGTTGCTGGGTTGATTGAGCGAGGTAACGTATATTAAGTTGATTTATCATTGCCAGTAATTAATCAAGCAATGGCCACTGTTACTATCCAAATAGCACAAAAACAAAAAGCAGACTTTAAGCCATTGGTCAGGATATGCTTGATGATTTTTCCACTAGAATTATTTATTTATGTATTTATAGTCAGTCAGTACTTCTCTAAAATATGCAATTCTCTATCATTCCATGTGATACCTTCATTAAGTGATAACGTATCACATCCTATGTGATATCTTTTTTTTTTTTTTTGAGACAGAGTTTGGCTCTTGTTGCCCAAACTGGAGTGCAACAGTGCGATCTCAGCTTACTGCAACCTCCACCTCCCGGGTTCAAGCGATTCTCCTGTGATCTATGCCTCTTTGTAGCTAAATTCACATTATCTATTTAAAAATAATAGATTATTTTTTTTGAAATTTTTTTTTGAAAATTTTTTTCAACTGTTTTTTGAAAATTTCCCTTGTGCCTTCATTATCACACTAACTAAACCTCACTAGATAGTAACGTAAACCTCTTTAGCAACAAGCTGACGCTCAACAGCTTGAAGAAATATGCAGCCATTCTACAGAACTCATTATAGATTAAGACAAAAGACTTCATTGTAATTTCAGCAGACAAGTGACTATAATGTCACAGTGGTAAAAATGCTTCATTTTTGCATGCTTTCTAGAAAAACTGAGATAAAATCTCACAATCACAACTCATATATTTTATAATTTAAATTTCAAGGTATTTTTTCACTCTGAAAGCTGATATCGTGAATTTTCTTATGAGTTTGTGGCAAAAGTTATCTTGTGATAAATAATTGTCATAGGAACTCTTTTATTATGTCTACAATGTTAAAATATCAGTTGGATGCCTCACTGAAATATGTAATCATTTTATGAGTCTTTTAACATGTTGACATTTTACACTATTCTGTTTTAATGATATCAACAAATTATACCAGATTCGAGAAGATTAAATAACAAAAAAAGGGAAATAGCATTGTTTCTCTTAATATGATCAATCATAGTAATGATAATATTAACAGAATAGTGCATAAATAAAATGTAAACACTTTAACGGCCTAATGACTTTAGACAGATATTTAAGGCTTCAATCTGTCAAGGGAGATGAAGAAACCTCCAAGGTTCATGGGTTTTTCACAGAGAGGGAGAGCCTGGTTTCTGTCTGTCTTTAGTCCCACAGAGGAAGATGAGAAACAGAGCTAATGCTTCTTTTATCTTTTTTTCTCCTGTTTTCCCCTTTATTCCAGTCCCAAGAGGAAAATTTCAGAGCTGGCATGTCCATTATGCAAGTAACGGATTTCAGAAGAAGAATTTTGAGGCTGGGTGCGGAGGCTCATGCCTGTAATCCTAGCACTTTGGGAGGCCGAAGCAAGTGGAACACTTGAAGTCAGGAGTTCAAGAACAGCCTGGCCAACATGGTGAAACCCCGTCTCTACTAAAAATACAAAAAAAAATTAGCTGGGCATGGTGGTGGACGCCTGTAATCCTAGCTACTCGGAAGGGTGAGGTGGGAGAATTGCTCGAACCCAAGAGTCAGAGTTTACAATGAACCGAGATTGCGCCACTGCACACTCCATCCAGCCTGGGCGACAGAACGAGACTCCATCTCAAAAAAAAAAGAAGAATCTTAAAGAACGATAGAACATGTACGTGGAAGAGGAAGATAGAAACAAAGGAAGTGGGAGAACTTCAGGCTTAGTAAGCTGTGCAGAAAAAATTACCACTGAAATGGGTGTGGGAAGAGACAAAGAGCATTCAGGAGGAAAAATGGCTGAGAAAAAGAGGGAAGGACAATAGGGAATGGAGATGTTTAGAAATCACCATAGAAAATAACAAACGTCGAGTGGAAAACTTTCCTTTTCTCCAAATGACTTGCTCAAGTTCATTCTGTTTTTTTGTTTGTTTGTTTTTGAGATGTCTGATGCCCAGGCTGGAGTGCAATGGCACAATCTCGGCTCACTGCAACCTCCGCCTCCAGGGTTCAAGTGATTCTCCTGCCTCAGCCTCCCAAGTAGCTAGGATTACAGGCACACACCACCACGCCCAGCTAATTTTTGTATTTTTAGTAGAGACAGGATTTCACCATGTTGGTCAGGCTGGTCTCGAACTCCTGACCTCGTGATCTGCCCGTCTTGGTCTCCCAAAGTGCTGAGATTTCAGGCGTGAGCCACCGTGCCCGGCCAAGTTCATTCTTTAGCAGGCACTGGAAAGCTGGGAAAAAGCTGTTGGCCACGTACTCAGAAGAATCAAGCTCCTCAGCAAGCTACTCATAAAAAGTATCTGTCTCAACCTGTTCACCTTCACCTCTCACCTGGTCTAGAATTTTAACCTCTTCTCTCATTCCTTTGGATGGCAAACCAAAGTATCAATAAAAAACCATCATTAAGACTTTTTGAGGTAGGGAAGAGGCCCTGAAGGTTATTTTAGTGTAGCACAATGGAATTTATCAGATTCACTGGTACTGTTTGAAAACACCAAGAGCCTGATATGGTCCACAACAAAGTGTTTGCACTGAGGGAATTACAGGAAGAGGAAAGATTGTAACTCAACGATTGTACTCCTAAGGCTGCCTTCTAAGTAGGAGTCTCTAGAAAGCACCACACCTAGCAAAGTAGGCCCTGGGATCTGATTCCGGAAGCACACTCTTAGAGAGGGCAAGAGTAACCAAAGTGAAGACTATGGAAAAGCAAGAAGTACAGATTTCTTTTTTTTTTTTTTTTTCAGACGGAGTTTCGCTCTTGTTGCCCAGGCTGGAGTGCAATGGCACCATCTCAGCTCACTGCAACCTCTGCCTCCCAGGTTCAAACGATTTTCCTGCCTCAGCCTCCCAAGTAGCTGAGAATACAGGCATGTGCCACCATGCCCAGCTAATTTTGTATTTTTAGTAGAGACAGGATTTCACTATGTTGGTCAGGCTGGTCTCGAACTCCAGACATCAGGTGATCCACCCGCCTCAGCCTCCCAAAGTGCCGGGATTACAGGCGTGAGCCACCGCTCCTGGCCACTTTAAAAATATCTGTTTTACATAGGGCTTACTTTGGTTTGTTGTCTGTTGACAGCCAGGACTGGAATGGGCCTGGATGGGGTTCCTCAGTGTCTTGAGCAGACTGGCATGAAAAGTCAGGGATTACACTGTTCTTCCTCCTAAAATTGGCTGTCTGGAATAGCATGGTGGCACCCTTAAGAGTCCCAAGTTCAATTTTGGGACTAATGCTTTGAGATTACATACTCATTGAATAGTCTCTGATAATTGATTATGAGAACGTAATTGATTGGGTCTAACCTAAACTCAGAGGTGATCATTTGGGTCAGAGTTGACTAGCAATTGAAACTTAGGGCAGAGAGGTAGTGAATTCTAAAAGGTAGTCTAGTACTTTTGAAAATGAGGGCACTTGTTTTAATCTACATTTTGGGCTGGAATCCTCTGGAAGGACATTTATAGGGGAAAAAATGGACCTTGGTTAATAAGATTTAGATAGGTGGAGAACAGAGTAAAGACAATCATTGATTCATTTACTTATTCCTTCAAGAAATATTTATGAAACTGCATCACAGGTAAAGTTCAATGGCCTAAATGCTTTATATTTTTTCTTTTCTTTTTTTTTTTTGGAGACAGTGTTGCGCTCTGTCACCCAGGCTGGAGTGCAGTGGCGTGATCTCAGCTCACTGCAACCTCCGTCTCTTGGATTCAAGCAATTCTTCTGCCTCAGCCTCCTGAGTAGCTGGGACTACAGGCGCACGCCACCACACCCAGCTAAGTTTTTGTATTTTAGTAGAGACGGGATTTCACCATGTTGCCCAGGCTGGTCTCGAACTCTTGAGCTCAAGCAATCCGCGTGCCTTGGCTTCCCAAAGTGCTGAGATTACAGGCGTGAGCCACTGCGCCTGGCCACTTTATATTTTTAATACAGTAAAAGAGTTAAAATGTCAGTGTGGGAAGACAAAAAAATCAGCATATAATTTAGTCCTTAGAAATATTATTTCGTTTGTTTTGTATTTTGAAGGCTCAACAACACTTTAATTTGGTCTAAATTCCTTTGCCTACCAATTTGAACGACAAAGAAAGTTCACTTCCTTCCCAAAGAAGCTGAGATTTTAATTAAATACACATTATTTACTGGACTTCAGGGTCCCAAATAAACACTGGGTGAGTTTTTTTCTAAAGGTTAGCGTGTTCTCAAGGGTTTATAACAAGTTTTCCTGACTAGTTCCATTTCAGTCTGGATTGCAAAACTGCTTCTTGACACATGCTTTGGAAAGGAACAAACATTTAATCCTCTAATAATATTGAATGAACATTGATCTTTTTTTCCTTTTTTCTTTTTTTTTTTGAGACGAAATCTCGCTCCGTTGCCCAGGCTGGAGTGCAGTGACACAAACTCGGCTTACTGCAGCCTCTGCCTCTCTGGTTCAAGCTATTCTCCTGCCTCTTATACAAAAAAAAAAAAAAAGGGGAACAAAAAACATACCGTCTGTTGAGTGCATATGAAGTAACAAACAGCATTTCTTTTTACAGCATCTCTGCAAAACATTACTATGAGGTGACATTGTCATCTACAGATGCAACTCAATCAAAAACAGCAAGTCTGAGGTATAAAATAGCCAAGTAGAATTTGACATAATGTGCATTGATTGCCAATCTATGTGCTATCCACTAGGCAACATAGTATCTCCTTATTTAAATATAACAATAAATATAAAGAAGAATTTAATGTTAAGAAAAAATAAGTAAATCCATCTTTTGAATGATCACCTTTATTGTAATATTCCCTTCTTCTGACAGAAAGTTAATGGTTAGAAACCTGCTAAAGATCAAGGTTATATTTCAAAGAGAGCTTGTGTTGTTGGAGGCCTGGGGAAAGAAGGAAGAATAAAATCATTTGCAGCTAACTATAGCCTGCATGGAAGCCCTAGAAGCATTATCTATCTGTGATTAAGGAAGAGGAATTTTCTTGAATTCTTTTTTTTTATTTTAATTTTATTTTTTTAGGAGACAGGGTTTCATTCTGTTGTCCAGGCTGGAGTACAGTGGCGTGATGATAGCTCACTGCAGCCTTGGCTTCCTGGACTCAAGTAATCCTCCTACCTCAGCCTCCCAACTAGCTAGGACTGCAGAGGTGCACCACCACACCTGGCTAATTTTTAAAAATTTTTTGTAGATGAGAGGTCTCACTATGTTGCCCAGGATGGTCTCCAACAGCTGGCCTCGAGCCATCCTCCCACCCTGTCTTCCCAAGGTGTTGGGATTACAGGTATGAGCCATCGCACCCAGCCTTGAATTCTTTTGGCCTGTTATTATTCAGGAATTCATACAGAAGCCTAGGCTGGGCACCTTAAAAATTTCTGAAACAAACAATCTTTGTTTTTTCTTTCTTAACAGAATAATCACTGAAATGTTAAGAACTCTTTCAGGTAACGTTTATGTTTATTGATCAATATTTTCCCTTGGCAGAAGATTGTTATGCCTGCTCTTAAGCACCAACTACTTGAGGCCAGAGAGCCTAATGTTTACCCAGCTCCTGGGCAGGCTGAGTCTCAATTGTCATTGAACATGTGACTTCATTAAACCACGTCTAACATTTCCCTCTCCTACCTCTTTTCTCAGAAGACAGTCTAGTGGCCCAGTATGTGGCCAAATTGAATTGCAAGCAATAGGGAGAAAAAG
This sequence comes from Homo sapiens, assembly GCF_000001405.40. Taxonomy (NCBI): domain Eukaryota; kingdom Metazoa; phylum Chordata; class Mammalia; order Primates; family Hominidae; genus Homo; species Homo sapiens. The sequence continues at coordinate 118,367,967 of NC_000004.12, read as the reverse complement.
CCAAAGTTCTTTTCACTTCCCTTTACTTGAGCTTTAGAGTTCTTATTTTGTACTTATACTTGAACAATAATAATTTTATTAACATTATTAACAGACATTTATCTAAAGTGTATTATATGCCAGGTACCATGCTGTTATTTCATTATTTATTCATCAAATAATGATTACCAGCTGGGTACAGTTGCTCACACCTGTAATCCCAGTGCGTCGAGAGGCCAAGGTGGGAGGATCATTTGAGACCAGGAGTTTGAGACCAGTCTGGGCTACACAGGGAGATGTTGTCTGTACAAAAAAATTAAAATTAAAAAAAGTTACTGCTGAAATATTAGAGTTATCCTTATTTTATAGACAAGTAAACTGAGCTAAAGGAAGTTAAGCAACTTGCCTGATGTCATCCGAGTTAAGTAAGAAGCAGAGTTAAATTTTGAACACAGACTTTTTCTGACTCCTCTTGAAGGCCAGTCCTTAATTGCTACGTTACATAATATAACATAATACATACAAAATTTCTTTGAAATTGTGTGTTAGTGGTCAGTAGTTTTCAAATAGCTATTTTTGTTATTTTCTTTCTTTCTTTCAAGAGATATGGTCTCATTCTGTCACCCAGGCTGGAGTGCAGTGGCACAATAATAGCTCACTGCAGTCTTGAACTCCTGGGTGCAAGCAATCTTTCTGCCTTAGTATCCTGAGTAGTTGGGACTACAGGTGTGGGCCACCAACCCCAGCTAATTAAAAACAGATTTTTTTTTTTTTGTAGAAATGGGGTCTTACTTTGTTGCCCAGAATGGTCTCCAACTCCTGGCCTCAAATGATCCTTCTGCCTCAGCCTCCCAAAGTGCTGAGATTACAGACGTAAGCCACTGTGTCCAACCTACTATTTTCAATAAGAGCAGTTTATGAACTAAATATTTCTCACTTTCTCCTTAAATTAATACTTCTGTGTATATATATATATATATATATATTTTTTTTTTTTTTTTTTTGAAAAGTCAGACCTGACTGGGTATGGTAGCTCACGCCTGTAATCCCAACATTTGGGAGGCCAAGGTGGGTGGATCACTTGAGGTCAGGAGTCCGAGACCAGCCTGGCCAACATGGTGAAACCCTGTCTCTACTAAAAATACAAAAAATTAGCCGGGTGTGGTGGCGCACACCTGTAATCCCAGCTTCTCAGGAGGCTGAGACAGGAGAATCGCTTGAACCCAGGAGGCAGAGGTTGCAGTGAGCCGAGATGGTGCCACTGCACTCCAGCCTGGGCAATAAGAGCAAAACTCCACTTCAAAAAAAAAAAAAAGTCAGATCTAAAATAAATGTTATACCAAAATATACAAAAATTATCCCACTTAATTCTTATAACAATTTTAAAAGGCTTAATGCAGTTATATAACTTGCCAAAATGCTCAAATTGATAATAAGCAGCTGAGATGAATTTGAACCCAAGCTGTGTGAGCTCATAGCTTGGGTTGGTAACTGCCAAATTATGCCATAGAAACTCACATATGTGACAAAATCATAACCAGGTCAGGCATTCAGCTCAGTGGTAAGTGGTGACCCCTCATTAGCTATAATATTCCCATTTGGTTTTTCTGCTTTTCAAAGTCCAGATCTTTATGTTCAGCTGGTGCTCAAGTGTGGAAACTTGCCTGATAAACTCAGTCACCAGAGACCTGAAGATTTTAAGTTCTTTAAATCTACTTTTCTAAATTGGATGGCTGCATGGCTACAATTCCTATAACCCGATGTAAGACTTCAGTCTAATATAACTTTGTAGATTAATGAAGTCTACTAGGATCTTCATCTTTGCTTTTGAGAAATCATGAATTGAGCATCTGTACTGAATTTTATAGTTGAAGATAACAATTAGAATAATTTAGTTGCAAATAAAGCTTATTGGCTGGTCACAGTGGCTTACCTGTAATCCTAGCCCTTTGAGAGGCTGAGGCAGGTGGATTACCTGAGGTCAGGAGTTCAAGATCAGCCTGGCCAACATGGTGAAACCTCTTCTCTACTAAAAATACAAAAATTAGCTGGGCATGGTGGCGGGTACCTGTAGTCCCAGTTACTCGGGAGGCTGAGGCAGGAGAATCACTTGAACCCGGGAGGCGGAGGTTGCAGTGAGCCAAGATCATGCCATCGTACTCCAGCCTGGGCAACAGAGTGAAACTCTGTTTCAAAAAAAAAAAGAAAAAAAGAAAAAGAAGCTTATTTTCTGTTCTGCAATGAAGTGGTTATGGTCCTGCCTGCGTATCTCATCTTAATCACTTACTACTTTTATAGATTTAGGCAAGTTGATTAAACTCTCTGAGCTTCAGTTTTCTTTTCTTTTATTATTATTTTTTCCCCATTGGATAATAATGCCTGTCTGCCTATATTATAGGCTTTGGGAAGAATTAATGAACATACATAAAATGAATGATTGATATGATTGACGATATGCTTATTGTGGGGTCTTGAACAGAGTAAGTGTTCAATTAATGCCAACTCTTATTATTTTACCTAAATTGTCAAGATATTCACTTTGACTCTTCCCCTGTCTATAGTTTGTATGCTGTTAAAGCAAGTTTTGAACATGAGCTAGAGTTCAACAAACAGACAAATCTGAAAGAATAAGGATAGATTTTAAAATTTAATGTTTATGGCTGGGTGTGGTGGCTCAGGCCTGTAATCCCAGAACTTTGGGAGGCCAAGGCAGGCGGATCACCTGAGGTCAGGAGTTCGAGTCCAGCCTAACCAACATGGAGAAACCCTGTCTCTACTAAAGATACAAAATTAGCTGGGCATGATGGTGCATGCCTGTAATCCCAGCTATTCGGGAGGCTGAGGCAGGAGAATTGCTTGAAACTAGGAGGCAGAGATTGCGGTGAGCCAAGATCGCACCATTGCACTCCAGCCTGGGCAACAAGAGCGAAACTCCATCTCAAAAAATAAAAAATAAAAAAATAAAATTTAATGTTTATTTATTAGATTTACTGTTTATAATTCTTCTTTATAGTTTGTCCCTTTTTATTTCACCTAAAATTTGATTTGGCATTAACCACATAGTGTAGTTTGGAACAAACCTTGCTAGATACTTAGGTATACAAAAAGAGAAGGTAATCTGGCTTTAATCCTTGCAAATAAAAAGCAAGCAAAGGTAAATATTCTCAACCCCCTCAGAGTAACTTAGGCTTATGAATCATCAAGTGTAGATAATGAGAGTTTCTGTTTGAAATAAAACAGTATCGTTAATTACATCTCTTGTATCAGTTTTTTAATTTCCCAAAAATATCTGATCTATTCATTTATTTTTCCTGATTATAGCATATGCTTTATTTTTTACTGATTTAAATACAGTAATTTATACCGCATGCAGAAATCTTTTTAGATTGTTTAATATACTGCAACTTCATGAGCCCCATGGGCTAGAGTGAAGCTATATGAGAAACAGTAAAATCCCAGTGTTCTTCTGTATTTGCCAAAGAGAAATGTAGGTGGTTGTGTGTTCCCGGATTGATTTAGCATATGTCTGACCGCTTAAAGCACTTTTCAAATTATCGTTGCTCCAAATTCATATCCAGATGCTTTTATAAATTGTGTAGGTTACAATCCATCTAGTTCAAAGCCTCTAGAATAGTGTAGGTTACAATCCATCTAGTTCAAAGCCTCTAGAATGGATAATCCAATCCATTTTCTGAGAGAATTAGAAAGAAAATGTAGTGAAAAATGTATATTTTTAGCAAAATATTCTAAACAAAGTAAGTTTTTATTAACATTTCCCATAAAATCTATTAAATTTGCAGGAAACAGTAACAACAACCTTGTAACCCTGTATTCACTGCATTCTATGCATTTACCTCCAGCCAACCATCTCACAAAGGTAATCTAATCCACTGACCAAAAAGAGAACTAAGTAAGAGACTGGAGATAGAATCAGTGAAAAACATTATTGAGCAGCTTTCACTAAATGAGAATCTGGAAATGAGTAAGACCCAATATCTCCCTCAAAAGCTTACTTACAGTCAACACAAATCCATCCAACCACTTGAGAAAAATTCTTCTTCATTATGAATAAGTCGGTATATCTTTAAATGGACGCTACTAGATGGGTGTACATTAAAGATATTTTTACTCTGCTTGCACTCTTTCTTTAAAGATCTTTATCAAACATATTTAGAAAATAAAACAATATAGAAAATTATAAAGTATAAAATCATAGCTTCCAAAAACACTGTGTATCACAATCAAAAATGAAAATCATGACGTTTGTCTTCTTAAACCCATGTCATTTATCTGGTTTTTGTGTGTTTTCAATGTTTAAACATTTTAAATTCCTCCCTTCTAGAGATCTATTTTTTAACAGGTCATCTCCTTCTGCTTTAATCATTATATGCCTTGAGCTAATTAAGGTCCAAAGGTTAATGTTATCCAAAGTTATTGTTGATTCTCTGAAATAATTTACTTAAAATATTTCTGAAGACGAACATTCCACAAGACATGTGCATTGCATTAATAGGCATTGTTTCACAGAACAAAGTCTAACCAGTTACCATTTCTTATTTTAGAATCCTGATGGAACCTAGCAACTTATATAAAGTTGTCTGCTCAGCCTCAGCTGTGGGCTGCAACATAACTAATGCTATGTGCCAAATACTGTCTTACTTGTTTAATGACCATATTTCATCTTTTAAATGACATTCGATAGCAAAGAACATTAAGTCATATGAAAAAGCCTTTTACACTGGGTAGAGGTTTCTAAGCCTTCTAAAAATAAAGACTAGTCTAGGGTAGCGTCATATTTTTAATGCCCTGAGTTTGTTTTATTACACAGCTCAGCTGTTAATACTGCCAATGAGTCTCTGTTTCAAAACTGTGTCAATCTTTCAGCACCAAAATGAGGGCATATTGTCCTTCACAACGTAGCTGTTTTATGAAAGTGGGGGAAAAGAAATTCTTTCTGATTTAGTTGTACCAGCAAATTTTGTTTCTAGTTGTTATAGCTTCATTATGCATATAAACTTTTTGACGCTTTGGGGTTTTTTGTTTGGCTGAGAGTGTATTGGGAGGCAATAGAAATGTGTGTAGCTTAATTTATTGGACAGGAAATTCTGATGCATTACAAAATACTCAGAGATGTTTGTTTTGAAGATAGTAAATATAATTTAACTGAAAAACTTTGGTAATCTTTTTGTCAAATTAAACCATGGTTGTTTTGGTTTTGTTTTACAATTCTTTGTCTTTAGCAGTATTCTAATGAGAGGCCTTACAAGTGATAGCTTTTCAGGAAGCATCTTTCTTACCCAAATTTCTGCTCCTCGGGACTCAGTTCAGAGGGTGCCTGAAATCCTATAGTTCCCTTGTCAGTTTCATGCATTCTTTTGTCCCTATTAAGATATTAATAACTCAAGGCTGATTGACATATTAAGTCTTATCAGGCAGCTGGTACACTCTGGAGTCCTACTGTGAGTCTGGATACCTAAATTCATGGATAAAATCTTTTGCTTTCTTGTAACCAGAAAAATAATAGACCAAGAATGAGCCTGCTCATAAAGTATAGTGGGAGATGCAATTGTAGGGAAATTAAAACACTTTTGCTTGGAACTGACCCTATGTTTTGTTTAAAATGCTTGTTTCATTGAAAATGCACTTACTTATTTAGCATTTAGAAAATACATATTGCCACATTATAAACACAGTATTTTTAAATTCTCTGTTTTAGAGCAATTTTGCAGAATATAACTGTTAACCAGCCTCAAAGATGGCCCCCAACAATCCCTATCTCCTAGAATTCACGTCATTTCATAGTCTTCTCCTGCCCTGTACCAGGGCTAATTTACTGTGTGAGTAATAGAATATGACAGCAGTGATGATATGCCATTTCTGAGATTAAGTTATAAAAGTCTTTGTGTCTTCTGTCTTGTTTGTTCTTTTGTATCATTTGCAATGGGGAAGCTAACGTTACGTTTTAAGCACCACCTTGGAGAAGTCCATGTGGTAAGGAACTGAGGCCTCCAGCCAACAGCCACATGAGTGATCTGGGAAACAGTTCCTCTACCTCAGTCAAGCCTTCAGATGACTGCAGTCCCAATAACATTTTTACTGCAACTTCATGACCCTGAGCTGCAGATTAGCCACTCCCAGATCTCTGATCCTCAGGACTCTGTGAGATAATAAACACTTGTTGTTTTAAAACACTAAGTTGTGGAACAATTTGTTATGTGCTATAGATAACTCACACAATTACCTACACATCATTTACTGTGAAAAATCCATAGACTAAAATACCCATGAAACATTATAACTTAGCATGAAATTCCTGCCAGATAAAGAAGTATAAACTAGGTCTGGTAAAACTCAAATGGTTACAAAGGCCAGGCAAGTGGGGACCATGGGGAACTGAAGACCATTTTCTAGGTCTCTGTAAGGATAGAAACAGCTCTAGACATTTGTTGCCATGTGAGAATTTGGATTGCAGCATTGCCAGATCTTTTGATTTTTCAAGGTAGTACACATAGGTTGGATTAATCTCTTCCCAAGCATCCATTATACCCCAGATAATTAGTCCAAGCTGATCCTAGGATGTTTATCCTCCCTGCCAGAGAATGTTTATTGAACAAGTATGTGACCCAATTCTGGTCAACAACATTAGAGGAAAAATCTCCAAGGAGGTTTCTGGGAAAGATTTCTTTGCTCCTAAAAAAGAGGTACAGAAATAACAAGTCTCTCTTCTTCCTCTAAACACAGGCTCTGTCTGAATATGATGTCTTGCCATTTGCTGGCAGTATGAAGGTGAAGCTAACAGTAAGATGGGCAGGCAGAAAAAGACAAGGAGCCTGGGACCTCAAGAGCATAGTTAGTTAGACATTGAAGGAATTAACCCTGGGGAATTTGATGCCTCCTATTTTATGAGACCTATATGGTCCTTAAAAAACCTTATTGTAAGGCAGCTTGAGGTTTACTTTACTTGCAGCCAAAAGTATTCTTACAGTTACATAAGAGAAGCTAGAAATCAATAATTTTATGTGTGAGCTACTCATCTTAAAATCATGAATGAAATTTAATTTTTAAAATGAGTTGGGGCTGGGCACTGTGGCTTACGCCTGTAATACCAGCACTTTGGGAGGTCGAGGCAAGTGGATCACCTGAGGTTAGGAGCTCGAGAAAAGCCTGGCCAACATGGTGAAACCCATCTCTACTAAAAATACAAAATTAGCCAGGTTTGGTGGCAGGCACCTGTAATCCCAGCTGCTTGGGAGGCTAAGGCAGGAGAATCACTTGAAGCCAGGAGGCGAAAGTTGCAGTGAGCCGAGATCATGCCATGGTACTCGCACCTGGACAGCAAGAGTGAAACTTGGTTTCAAAAAAATAAAAATTAAAAAAAAAATGAGTTGGTAGCACATAAAACATATTTGGATGGCATATGCATTTTGCTGGCTTCTGGTTTGCGATGTCTTTTGTAGACACTACACTACCATATTATAAAAAAAAAAAAAAAAGGAAAAGACTCATTTGCACTTTACTTAAAAACCTCATTTGTTCAATGACTATTCATTGGCTGCCAGTTAAGGACCAATCACTGTGGAGTGCATAATTATTTCCATTAAAGAGCTTATAATGAAGACAGCTCTGGATTAATGTGATTATGATTGTGAAATTCTGTGTGTATAGCGTGCCAGGCTAACACATATTTTGAGAGCAGAATTTGGTTAGGGAAGATTTCACAGTTTGAACAGGGTTGTTGAAAATTTTCAGGCTGACAAGAATTTAAGTAACGTTGTGCTTATTGTATAAGAACCAAATGTTATGTGGCTGTAAACAAGTTAATATAATCATAGTATGATATTTGAAACAAGGGGAACATTTTTATTCTCTCGAAATCTGCTGTGGTCAAATAATACCTAAAGTATTGTTTTTTAATTCTATGAGCTACAGTTTAATGAGGATATTGTTGCACTTGGGCTTAACCAGAGAAGGGGTTCCAGCATAAGGCATCAAAATAAGAAATGGTAGAAGGAAAAATAGTTCATTTAGTCTAGAAAAAGCAGAAAAGCCCTGATAATTGTTTCCACAAACTTAAATGATAGTCATTTGCTTAGTGTCCAACATAATATTTTTAATCCTGTAGAGTAGAATTGTTACCTCCATATTATGGACAGGCAAACTATATTTTGAGAGGTTATCAGTAATGACGGATTACTGGGAAGCTAGGATCCTGAAATCATGTTGTCACAGGGTGAACCCCAAAATTGGGAGGCCATGTGAGTTCTTGGCTTCATGTAGGAAGGAATTCAAGAGTGAGCCAACAGAGTAAAGTGAAAGTAAGTTTATTAAGAAAAGTAAAGGAATAACAGGGTGGCTATTCCACAGGCAGAGCAGCAGCATGGGCTGCTTAAGTATACTTATGGGTATTCCTTGATTATTCACTAAACAAAGGGTGGGTTATTCCTGTGTTTTCTGGGAAAGGGGTTGGGAGTTCCTGAAACTGAGGGTTTCTCCCCTTTTTAGACTATACAGGGTAACTTTTGGATGTTGCAAACTATCATGGCACTGGTGGGAGTGTCTTTTAGCACGCTAATGCATTATAATTGGCGTATAATGAGCAGCCAGGATGACCAGAGGTTGCTTTCATCGCCATCTTGCTTTTGGTGGATTTTCACTGGCTTCTTTACCACATCTCGTTTTATCAGCTGGGTCTTTGTGACCTGTATCTTATGGAGCCAGTCCTGCTCACCTCCTATCTCATCCTGTGACTAAGAATGCCTAACCTCTAGGGAATGCAGGTCTCATCCTCCAAGAAACCAGCCCCTATTCAAGATGGAGTTGCTCTGGTTTGAACACTTCTCACACGATCTTCATGCCTCCCCACTCCCAGTGAATTCCCTGGGAGACATCTATATGTAGAGGACAAGCTTAGCCAAATGCAAGCTTTTAAAATTAACTGGAATTTTGCCCCCAAACCCCAAAGCAGTTTACTAGTATCTAGGCCAAATAGCTAAACAGCGCCTTTTCCTACCTTTTACTACAACTGTTACCCAAACCTCAGCTTTATGGTTCTTATGATTCCAATGATAAAGTAAAGAAAAACACAATAAGCAAAAGGAGAGAAAATAGGAAACTGATTACTTATGCTTATGCAGTCTTATTTATTTTTATTTTTTATAGAGACAGGGTCTTGTTATGTTGCCCGGGCTGGTCTTGAATTCCTGGGCACAGATGATCCTCCTACCTTGGCCTCCCAAAATGCTGGAATTACAGGCATGAGCCACTGCTCCCAGCCATATACAGACTTATTTATACCTCACATGATAATACTACTAATGGACCCTAGTAATGTGGACTAATTACTGCTCTTGGATCTGCCCCCTCAAGTCAACACATCTCCTCTTTCTTGAGGATAGAGAGAAATGGGGAAGAAAAGAGTCTTTAGCATCCCCTGGAGGCCAAGAAGCTAATACATAATTTAACAGGGATTTGAACCCAGGTGGGGTGGATTCCACAACTGTTACTGCCCACTCAAATAACCTCTATTCCCCCAAATCAGTAGGAGGATAGAAACAGAATTACAGCTAGATAAAGTAGGTTTCTACCTGTAGGGAACTTCTGGCTTTATGGAAGGGAAGATTTTCTGAACAATTTGGATTTTCTAGAGATAAGAGTGTGCTGGCTCCCAAGTAGGAACTTCTCCCGTGATTAGTTTTAAAGAAATAGATGGGGCCGGGCATGGTGGCTTACGGCTGTAATCCTAGCACTTTGGGAGGCCAAGACAGGCGAATTAGTTGAGGTCAGGAGTTCGAGACCAGTCAGCCAACATGGTGAAACCCTGCCTCTACTAAAAATACAAAAAATTAGCCAGGTGTGGTGGTGCATGCCTGTAATCTCAGCTACTCAGGGGCTGAGGCAGGAGAATCACTTGAACCTGGGAGACAGAGGTTGCAGTAAGCTGAGATAGTGCCACTGCACTCTAGCCTGGGTGACAGAGTAAGACTCCATTTCAAAAAGAAAGAAAAAAAAAGAAAGAAAAAAGAAAGAAAGAAATAGATAGAAGTCCATTTGTCAGAAAGTTCTGGAAGGATTCCTGCATTTGACAGGAAGTTGGAGCTTTAAGCCCTTTTCCACACTAAGATTCTGTGATTCCCAGATCATTGGCAAGCAGTTCTGGTGCTGTGTTTCTTTCAATCTGTTTACTCTTTTCCTCTGTGATCACAGCCCACTTGCAACTAGAAGGCTGAGGGATTTGAAAACCACTCGTTATACTTAGGCAAACTCCTCTGGAGAAGTGTTTTAATTTGAGATACTTAGTGTTTCATTGGCTTTCAGGGACAAAACTTGTGGAGAGGAAGAGAGAGAACATACAAAGAGAACAAGCGCTCAAGTGAGCAGAGCTACAGCAGCCTCATGACTGCCATCAATCTTAAAGCGGAAATTGCTGAGGTGCAGTAAGAGGCAGAGCATGATGGGGAGGGAAAATCTAGGCAAATTTCCTGCATCACTGATGTAGATTTTCACTGGGTGACTTAGTTTGAGGGGTTAAGAATTCAATGGCAGTTACTGATGCTATTCCACCGTACAATATGGAGTACTCTGTTCAACAGTTTACATGCATTATCTCAACTACCCCTCACAGAGATCTAGCATGCAAGTACTGTCACTCTCCCTTTTTCACAGATGAGGAGCCTTGGGCTTAGGAGGTAAAGAAACTCGTCTGAATTTCCCTACTGATTAGTGTGCAGATCAAGCACAGGTTTGATGCCAAGGCCAAAGTAACCAAGTTTAGGAACTATATATAGAGAGAGTGTGAGGCGCACACACACACACACACACACACACTCCTTACCTATTAGTACATATAATTTGGGTAACCCTGAAAATGAGTCTGTAGAACTAATTTCTGCATAGGAATTATATCATTTAGGTGAATTTTAAACATCAATCCAAATTAAAAAGCATTTTGTTCTGTTGATGAAATTCAACCTTAAACCATGAGAAAAATCAAGATCAAATGACTCCTATAGTACTACTGTTGCAATCATTGGCCCTCAGATGTCTTCATGGTTTGGGGCGAGCAGAGAAGAGTGTGACTAATACAAGGCATAGGTGGAGACTTTCCCTGTATTGCCAGAGACTGCCTACTAACAGGGACTTCTGACCCCAAAGCATTGTGCCATTCATTTGGCAATTCATCATTTATTTTTTGGATGTTTCTCTTATTTTTTTGAATTTTACATAAAATATTATATTGTCATCTAATTTTCTTTTCACCTCTCTATAGGCTGGACAATGTTCTATAATTTTGAGTCCCCTACAGTCCCTAGACAGTCCCTCATATTATTTGACTTTTTTTCCTTTGATGTGAAAGAGCAATGCTCAGTGTTCTTTTGAAAATTTTTTTTGCCATTGGAATTGTCAAAGTAAATACTGTTCTTAGCCTTCTGTTTAAAAGTTCTTAGCTTTTCTAAATGCAGGCATTATCTAAATTGTAAATGGGCCTTTTCCAAAAGTTATTTTGTATATTGGTTTTTGGAACTCTCTAAAAATAATATACATATCGGCTATGTTTCCAAATCAAACTACACAAGAGCTATTCAGCCCATCACTTATGTGAAGTAAGATGATCCCCTAAACTACCACAAAACCAAATATTCATGTATAACACAGTTGCCGTGGGAAAGCACAGATATGCAGATGTATGTGTACCGCACCCTCACCCCCAAGACTACCCACCCTCCCTGCCGTTGTGTGTGCAGGGAGACTCTTCCCTTCACTTCCCTAGGTTTCCAGTTGTTGTTCTGGATCTAGGCACTACCAGAACAGGGCTGTGTGGCAAAGGAGAGTTGAATTCTTGGGTCCCAAATCAATGACAGAGGATTGATGAAATCAGAGGTGATGGAGGTGACAGAGTCCCATTATGGGGGCCTCCCTGGGACTTCCAAGTGTTGAGATGAGGTGTGCCTGCAAGATGTCATTTGTTTCTTTTTGTCCCTTTCCTTGTTCCTTTGTTGCTGCTGAAAGGAAGGGAAAGCAGAGGATCAGCTGTGGGAGTTTTTTTTGTTTTTGTTTTTGTTTTTTTTTTTTTGGCAGGGTCTCACTCTGCTATCCAAGCTGGAGTGCAGTGGCGTGATCACATCTCACTGCAACCTCAATCTCCTGAGCTCAAGCAATTCTTCTGCCTCAGCCTCCTTGTAGTTAAAAAATGTTTTTTTAGAGAGACGGAGTCCCACTATGTTTCCCAGGCTGGTATTGAACTCCTGGGCTCAAGCAATCCTCCCACCTCGGGCTCCCAAGCTGCTGGGATTATAGGCTTAAGCCACTGCACATGACGAAGATTCTTACAGTTGTAACAAGATGGAATTGCCTCCCCTCTCCTTTGGCATATACTAGAGGGTGATGAAAATCCTGGGAGGGAGCTTTGACTAAGTAGCGCCTTAATAGAGGTAGAAGGAAAAGATTTCTTCCTGTAAATCCCTGTACTCTTAATTCCCCCCAACTCCACACACGCTGTGATGTGACAGGTAGAAGAGGGAGAAATGCATTTCAGAGATTGAACTGGGAATTGGAAATTCTAAACATCTGTATGTTGGTAGCAGCAAGGAGAAATGAAAGAAGAGAGGAAGAGAAAATATTAGCAGAGGAGGGGACTAACATGTCAAGAAGAGAGCTATTTAAGACACACTTTTCCTGTCAAATAGAAGGCAAAACCCAAGCCAAGGCCCTCAAATCATAATTACATAAATGCCCTTATATTTTCTAAGAAAAGTATGTTTTAAAACTTAAATGATGAAATCCGGACGTGGAATTTTCTGTGGGTAACTCCACTTTGTGTATGTCAATTTTATAGTCTGTTAAATGTTAAGTGGCCTCAGAGTACAGGGAAGTGGAGGAGAGGCCAGACTGCCTGAGGCCATGCTCCTCTCTGGAGCTCAGATCTAACAGTCTTCTGTTTTATTCACTTCTCTCTCATTATTTTCCTGTCTGCAAGGTATGTAGATGCATGGAAATTGGGTCTGCTTCTGGACCCCCAGGAAGCATGGAAGCAATGATTGTAGGGGTCAATGTGGGAAGGGGAGGGAGCAGGGTCCAAGCAGCCTCCCCACAGTCCTAAAATGAGCCTTCCCTGGGCCATCAGGTGTGTAGCCTAAGGTGGAAAAGCTAGTCAGAAAGAAAAAGGGCTGACCCCTGATAGAACTGTCACCTATTATTTCAAAAATCTGTGATTGATGAGCTCTGCCAACCCTCACTAAAATGAACAAATAGACTACTCCAGATATATATTTTATCTTTCATTGTCTTCCACAAGTATAGATTTAACTATGCTTTTGGAGCCAGAAAAGTATTAGTAAAAAAATAATGGGTAAAAACAACTGGAATGAAAACAACTTGAATAAAGATTTGACAAATACATCCCTGGACTCTTAACATCATTTCTTTTACCCAATTCTCTCTAAAGTAAAATCAAATATTTCATTAATAGGAGTGAAACAAAAAACAATAAAACGACCCACAAAATTAAAGATGGATTTTTTTTTTTTTTCTTGAGACAACGTCTCCCTCTGTCGCCCAGGCTGGAGTGCAGTGGCACGATCTCGGCTCACTGCAACCTCTGCTCCCAGGTTCAAGCGATTTTCCTGGCTCAGCCTCCCAAGTAGCTGGAATTACAGGCGTGCGCCAACACTCCCCCGGCTTTTTGTATTTTTAGTAAAGGCGGGTTTCATCATGTTGGCGACGCTGTTCTCGAACTCCTGGCCTCATGTGATCCGCCTGCCTGGGCGTCCCAAACTGCTGGGATTACAGGTGTGAGCCACCTCGCCCGGCTAAAGATGGCTTATTTAAAGCTAGTAGTGAATTAATTCAGTTCCTAATTGAAACCTAGGTTTTAACAATAAACATTTGAATTTTGTTCAAGTTTTCTTCAGGGTACATTATATTATGAGACAGCATTGCTTTTTCACAACGAAACGTGACCATGCCAGAAAATAAAATGTTGCCTTCTTTACGGGCTTCCTTCTCCTTGTCAAACTTTGGTAGCATAGTCAGAAACAACTGAAAGGCAAAATACTAAAACATACAGCTCCAGTAACTTTTTTTTTTTAAGATTCTAAGCCAACAGTTTTTTGGAGCCTGCGGGAGGGGGGCGAGGAGTGTTGAAAGGGCCCTACTAAGCTGAGGTCGAGCCAACAGTGAAGCTTCAAAATTGTCAGCAGGCAGAGTCTCTGGAGAGGCAAATGAATAGGCTTAACAGAAGTCCCTTGCCCTGCAAAAAACGAGGCAGGTGCTAGGGGGGTGGACTTTTTGGATAGGATGGAAACCGGGACGGATGAAGTCTTCTCTGGTTAGAGAGGAAATTTGGTATTAAGAGAGCCTCACTGAATCCCAATAATAACCAAACAACTGGTGTTGTCCAGGGCACCGGCTGGAAAGTGGGAGGCAGGAAGCAGAAAGGCTCAAGCTCCTTTCCCTGAGTCGGTTCAGGATTTTAATTTCAGCCAATGTTTATTGGGGCACGGTGTTAAGCACGGTGATATCAAGCTGAATAAAACGTGGTCTTGTCCTTGAAGAGCGTATAGTTCAGTGAAATGGCTTTAACATTCCTCGTGGGTTTTGATAACTTTTATCCTGGGAGTTGTCAGGGAAGAGCTGCATCTAAATCCATCCATACTTTGGTAAAGATTTCAAAACAGAGGAAGCAAGATACGGGGCGACGAGGTTGGAGGAGAGATGACGGCAGGGGCCGGTGCCAGATTTGGGAGCCGCCAACGCCGGGCTGTGCTGGTGCTGCATGCTGGCAAGGGGCAGCCAAGACCGTGCTCCGCGCGGGCACCCTCGGGCTCGGTCCCAGCAGCTGGCAGTGCCGTGCGGGCGGACTGCGGTGGGCCTGGCAGGGGCCGAGCGTAGGTCCGGAGCAGCTTGCGCGGCCGGCGCCCGCCCCCAGGGGGCAGAGTTCCCGGGCTCGTGCCTGCGCCGCTACCTGGGGCTCAGGCCCAACCGCTCCCCGCTGCGTCCGCGCCTTCTCTTTTCCGGTCCTCTCCGCCGGCCGGGGCTCGGCTGAGCTCCAGATTTCCCCACCCGCGGCCGCCGCCAGGGGACAGGAGCCGAGGCGCGGCAGGGCACCAGCGGCGGGAGGCAAGGTTGGGGAGGCGAGGGCGGTCCGCGTGCGGGGGCGGGAGGGGGCTGGGGGATTCGAGGGACGCGGCAGCCCCGCCCCCGCCCCCTCCTCTTCTCCGCTCCAAGCCCGAGAAGCTGGGGAGCATGGACCAGACCCCGCAGCGCTGGCACCATGACGCTCGCCCGCTTCGTGCTAGCCCTGATGTTAGGGGCGCTCCCCGAAGTGGTCGGCTTTGATTCTGTCCTCAATGATTCCCTCCACCACAGCCACCGCCATTCGCCCCCTGCGGGTCCGCACTACCCCTATTACCTTCCCACCCAGCAGCGGCCCCCGAGGACGCGTCCGCCGCCGCCTCTCCCGCGCTTCCCGCGCCCCCCGCGGGCGCTCCCTGCCCAGCGCCCGCACGCCCTCCAGGCCGGGCACACGCCCCGGCCGCACCCCTGGGGCTGCCCCGCCGGCGAGCCATGGGTCAGCGTGACGGACTTCGGCGCCCCGTGTCTGCGGTGGGCGGAGGTGCCACCCTTCCTGGAGCGGTCGCCCCCAGCGAGCTGGGCTCAGCTGCGAGGACAGCGCCACAACTTTTGTCGGAGCCCCGACGGCGCGGGCAGACCCTGGTGTTTCTACGGAGACGCCCGTGGCAAGGTGGACTGGGGCTACTGCGACTGCAGACACGGTTAGTGGCCTCGGGGCGGCCGCGGAAACTCCGGACGGGCTCGGAGCCAGTGAGGCTTGGGGCCGGCGTACAGGTCTCTTGGAAAAAGTGACGGGGTGTGTGGGGTTGTGGGCTTGCGTTTGCGGGCTGTGATGGTGGGCTGCAGCTGGGTTACCAGTAAGGTATACTGGTGCTGCAAATCTAAGCCAGCCAGGTGTGCTTGTGTGAAGGTTGTCAGGGGTGACAGTTCTATGCAAGGTGCTGAGCTCTGGGTTTCTGAATTTGCTCTGTCCTCTGGCCACTGTGTGTGTGTGTGCGCTCGTGTATTGGGTGACAGTGTGCTTTGGGCGTCTGTTCTCTAGATTAGCTTACGTTGAGTGGGTTACCATATTTACATTAAAGAGGCATAATTACTTGTTCTGGAAAGGGAAATGTTACATTAACGTGGCAATCAATAACCTTCCCTCCATTCTTTAGACTCCGATTTTTAAAAATGTGGTAAAATTTTGCCTTAATTTAGCTGTTGACCTCTGTTTTAAAAAGTATGGCAAAATTATGTGGCCAAAATCAGCCATATTCACATACTCCAGCTCAGTATGGTAAGTATCATCAGTGACTGGAAAAAAAGAAAGGGAAAAGAGATGGGAATACTACTATCTTGGTGAAGTAGCAACTTAATATAGTTATACACAGTTTTCCAGAGCCATTACTTAGCTTTATATGTTTTATCAGGATTAGTTGGTAACATCAGGAGATAAAGGTGGCAAAATGTTTTAGGTTTGTGGTAATAAAAGCATCACACTAATAAATTTAATGTAAATGAATAATCCAGCTTTGAACATTGCTTCATTTTGAATTGTTGGGATTTTGTTGAAATTAGGTTTTTTTTTTTGTTTAAAAACTGAGGAAGAAAAAATATCCTCAAAGTTTGAATTTCTTTTCAACAAAATATTTTTGGCAGCTTTCCATTCACACTGTGGGGCAAGGGTTTCCTGAATTGAGATTCTGAATCATATTGTACTTTGTACTTTTTGGAGGTAACTTGGAGGTTATCTGTCACAATGTCATTCATTTCCTGGAGAAATTTTATTTATCAGTACCTTCAATTGCATTAGTGCTTTGAGTTAAGGAAAAGTGATAGGAAGGTTAAGATCAATTATCCTTTATCCTCGGGAATGAAGTCATCGCTTTACTTGTGTTTCATGAACAGAATGCCAATGTAGCTATAAAAAATTTGAGGTGATGTCAAACAAAGAGTGCTAGCATTGTCTCGTTATTCACCATAAGAGATTATAGTAAAATCTTAGGTTTAGCAAACATTGACTTTTTTCATCTTCATATTATTCTTAGTTTTATAAATAGATAAGAGCAGAGAATTATTAGAGAATGAATGTGTAGGAGAGAATATACAACTTCTCTTTAAGTACATAAGCACAGACTCAAGAAAAGTAATTTAAAGTTAAAAAATGATAGTGATCTGTTGCTCTCTTTCTGACATAACTCAGCCTTATGTTTCAGACATGGAGAGTAACTTGTCCTTGGATTTCCTGCCACCTCACCTTCTTCAGTTGACTAGAAATGTAAATCTTTTGAATGCCTTTATGTTCCTAGCTAACTCTCACCAGACAAAATCCCAAATACTGCATAATAGTTATTTGTACTTCCTGGAGTAAAGTGATTGAACAAAAGAGAAACAAAAGAAACCACTCAAGATGGGAGATAAATGCCCTTCCCACCACCACAAAAAAATAGGAAAACGATCAACTGTGTAATAATGAATTACTTTCACAGACTCAATCTCATTCTATCATTTACTTCTCCAGTCTGCTTGGGCATAACCTATAGCTTTGAGATGAGTGGCATATTCTGAACGTTACGGCTCTCTTGGTCCTACATTTCAATTAGGGGTGTGAACAAAAGTATCATGGAGTGGTGAAAAGAATATTGAATTGTGCTTTAGAAAACACTGGTGTCTGTTTTGGCTCTGCCAGTAGCTGTGCACTGTTGGGTAAGACTCTTAACTCTTAGAGCTTTGGTTTCCTCATCAGGAGAAACGCAAGTTTTGAGTAAATTAATTTAAAAGACCTTTGCAGCGCTGAGCATGTACGCAAAACAACCTGGCCTGATCATAGTAGCTAGGACTTACTGTGCATTCATTCTGTGTTGGATGCTGGACTGAACATTTTATGTGCATTTTCTCATTTCATTCTTTTATTTTTATTTATTTATTTATTTTTTGACAAGGGTCTTCGTCTGTCACCCAGGCTGGAGTGCAGTGGTGCAATCTCAGCTCACTGCAACCTCCGCCTCCCTGGTTCAAGCGATTCTCCTGCCTCAGCCTCTTGAGTAACTGGGATTACAGGCACCTGCCACCACGCCCGGCTAATTTTTGTATTTTTAGTAGAGATGGGGTTTCACCATGTTGGCCAGGCTGGTCTTGAATTCCTGACCTCAGGCCATCCACCCGCCTCTGCCTTCCAAAGTGCTGGGATTACAGGTGTGAGCCACCGCTCCCGGCCTCATTTCATTCTTGTAGCAACCTTCTGAGTGAGTTCCTGCATTTTACTGATGAAAATATGTGAAGACATATTATGAGGAGTATAGGAGAAAATAGGGTTAGATATGTGTATTTTTACTTCACAGCTGATTTTGCTGTATTTCTTTACTTACATATACACATGTAGAAATATCTGCATTGTGTAGTAATCCTCATTTTGTAGTTTATGGACTAGTCTAACAGGAAGAAAGGGAATTATGTTTGGCCTGATGCACATGATTTACAGTCTCTTATGCTTAAAAGATATCTGGTATCTTTTTCTTTGTTTTTTTTTTTTTTGAGATAGGTTCTCTCTCTGTCACCCGGGCTGGAGCGCAGTGGCGCAATCTCAGTGCACTGCAACCTCTGCCTCCTGGGTTCAAACGATTCTCCTGCCTAAGCCTCCCAAAGTGCTGGGATTACAGGCAAGAGCTACCATGCCCGACATATTTTTTTCTTTAAAGAAATCCAGGGCAAAAGAAAATAACAATTTACAGTAATGTGATCCCTCCTTTAAAAAATACACTGCTGGCCAGAGTCACATATTTCATTGCATTGAGAAAAATGAGGAAGTTGGTGTCTCCATGGTGAAGAGTTGATTGAAGCCAAGTTGAAGGGGCAGGGTGGGGACCTCAGGTGAGCCAGGGCTGGGCGTGGATGTTCCAGTGGCTCAGATGTCAGAGAGCAGGAAACATGATACCTGGGCCCTGGTTTTATGAAACTTGCAAATTAATACTAAAGAATCATTCTAGGGCTGGGCGCGGTAGCTGTCGCTTGTAATCCTAGCACTTTGGGAGGCTGAGGCAGGTGGATCACCTGAGGTCGGGAGTTCGAGACCAGGCTGACCAATGTGGAGAAACCCCTGTCTCTACTAAAAATACAAAATTAGCCAGGCATGGTGGCACATGCATGTAATCCCAGCTACTTGGGAGGCTGAAGCAGGAGAATCGCTTGAACCTGGGAGGCAGAGGTTGTAGTGAGCCGAACTCACGCTATTGCACTCCAGTCTGGGCAACAAGAGCGAAACTCTGTCTCAAAAAAAAAAAAAAGAATCATTCTGGCTATGGGAATACACTGAATCAGCCCAGGGAGCTGGTCTCATTATGAGCATTTAGAAACACCTTGGGACTTGTTAAAATGCAGATTCCTAGACTGTAGCCCAGGCTCTGAGTAATTCTCAGTTCTGGATCAGGAATGGAACATGCATTTCTATTGAGCAGTCAAAGTGATTTAGATGCTGAAAACTCTGTCACAGTCAGGCAGAACACATGGAAGGGCATTAGAACCCACCTAAAATGTATAGTGGTAGGTGATGATATAGACTAACTGAGCCCACCATTCTGTGACTTAACCCTGTTAGGCTTTAGGAGCAGGTGTAAGGCATGCCAATGTTAACTTTTTGTGTAATTTTAGAAATGACACTTCTGGTTTTTTATTTGACCAGTGTAAGATAGTAATAACCTAGTTCACTGGAATATGGTTATTTTATTTTTATTTTTTGAGACAAAATGCATTTGTGCCATCTCAGCTCACTGCAACCTCTGCCTCTCAGGATCAAGCAATTCTCCCACCTTGGCCTCTGAAGTAGCTGGGACTACAGTCCAGCTAATTTATTATTATTATTTTTTGTATTGTTTGTAGAGATGGAGTTTTGCCATGTTGCCCAGGCTGGTCTCCAACTCCTGGGCTCAAGTGATTCTCCCGCCTTGGCCTCCCAGAGTACTGGAATTACAGGCATGAGCTACCATGGCTGCCCAGAATATGGTTATTAATTGAATGTGAGCTAGGTTATTTTTGCATTTCTACAGGAAGAATTAACAGGCAACTGATTTCCCCCAACAATAGCTTGTGACCCAGCATGGTGGCTCATGCCTGAAATCGCAGCACTTTAGGAGGCTGGGGCAAGGGGATCACTTGAGGCCAGGAGATAGAGGCTGCAGTGAGCTATAGTCATGACACTGCACCCCATTCTGGGCAACGGAGGGAGACCCTGTCTCTAAAACAAGCAAAACAAACACAACAAAACACGATAGATTGCAATAACTTAGTGTTTCCTGCCTAGGAGGGGCAGTCACTTTTCTAGTCTCTGGTTGGCATAGCAGATGGGGCAACTTGCTTGACACTGTGCTGAGAGCCTCCCTTTTTTACAAGCCAACCATAGGTGGCTGATGATTGAGAGGTAAAACATTAAATAAATGAGAAAGTTTTAATCATTGAGATTCTGGAGGAGAGGATGAGTCAAGAGATCTGACTTTTTGTCTTGTCATGCTCCTCTGTTCATGTGCACCTACCCACCCAAAATCTCTTGATTGAAATAGAGATAGAGGACATGTGGACCAAGTACTATTGTTTACAGGCTGTACTCATTGAATTCCATCTGTTGTTTGTAGTGAGTGTTAATTAAAAAGTTAGCTGAAAGCTGTCCCCCGCCACTTTTAAGGGCTACATCTTGGTTCTATGTAGCAGGTGCTGAAAAACATTTATTAGCAATACCAGATTTGATACATTTCCTGGTTGATTTTAAATATTGAGCTCAATCTGCTTTTCAGACTAAGGCAGATGTCAAATACTTAGATTTGGGGGCATTATCTGATTTCTTAACTAGTGTGCATATTTTTTTTTTTTTAGAGAAGACAATAAGATATCCCGTTACTATTGCCTTTTATGAGCTATTGTCCAGGGGTGTATATTTACTTATGTGGTCACTGTCTGTGTGTGTGTGTGTGCATGTGTGCATGCATGCACACGCATGTGTGCGCCTATGTGTTAAGACACCAGTCCCCAACCTTTTTGGCACCAGGGACCAGTTCTGTGGAAGGCAGTTTTTCCGTGGACCTGGGGGATGGTTTCATCAGGCATTAGATTCTCATAAGGAGCATGCAACCTAGATTCCTTGCATGCACAGTTCGCAATGGAGTTCGAGCTCCTAGGAGAATCTAATGCTGCTGCTGATCTGATAGGAGGCAGAGCTTAGGAGGCAGAGCTCAGGTGGTAATGTGAGCGATGGGGAGTGGCTGTAAATACAGATAAAGCTTCACTTGCTCACCTCCTGGTCACCTCCTGCTGGGCAGCCTGGGGGTTGGGGCCCCCTGTGATAAGATAACCTATGTAAAAGTAATTTGGTTTATAACTGAAGGGAAAATGAAATATCCAGTAATAAGGTACTACTCACAGGTACCTGCATTTGATGGATATTATGCAGATACTAAAATAATTATTGTAAATATTATATATATATATATATAAATAGGAAAGTGTTTACGATAGTGTTTAGGGGAAAGAAGGGTATGAAATTTATATATAATACATTATGACTGTGAAAATAAAGATGCTTTTGGAAGATTTGGAAGAAAACATGATAATTATGAATTTGGGTGTGGATGTGTCTTGAATCAATTTGGGTGGTTTTGATAGCAAAGAATAGAAAACGGAAACAATAAGGAGGCTTATTGTTCCTATTACAAGAAGTCCATGTGATGGGCAGACTCCAGCATGGTACACTTCTGTTCCTCTGCTACTTTCTTGGCTCCTCTATCCTCTTCAGAAGCGTGGCCTTTATTCTTAGGCTGGTGGTTATTCCAGGCTTCACTTAGAGATAGAACAATCTGCAGAAGGAAGAGAGCCCCTCTGCAGGAATGTCCTTTTGAAACAAGGAAACCTTTCTGGAATTTCCCCCACAGACTTCCACATTTCATTTGCCCAGACTGGATCACATGTTCCTTCCTGACACTCTTTGGAAAGAAATGTACAATTACCATGATTACATAGATTAGTTAGCTTAACCTCTGAATCATCTGGGGATTCAACTGGCAAGGAGGAAACAAGGTAGTTGTTGATCAGAACCAAAAGGGTTTGCTAAGGAGTATGGTTGGGACTTGTCCTTATATTTGGGAAACTTAATGCAATTAAAAAATAACAGTAAGTAATTTATAAAGTGCTGTAAAATGTTACATTCATTTTTTTTTAGTCATATCTGGATGAATAACATTTAGACTCTGGTTTGGTTGACAAAGCATATTTCCTTGTCTTAAGATGCTATTTGCAGGCAAATATTATGACGCATTTATATCTGAAATGAATAATTCCATAATTGATGAGAATGCTGAAGTTAGTTCATTTATTAAGTAAACATGATTATATGATTTAATTCTAATTTTGAAGGTTTTTTCCCCCTGAATTAAATTTTAAAGAAAGCAGTCCTTTGAAGCCTCTCTCCTTAGCTGCATAGTAAATAGGCATTATATGAACAATTGATTTAGACTGATGTTTACATGGTTGGTCTGTTGTCATTAGAAACTAAAGAAGTGTTTATTTTTGCCCCTTTAGCATCTTCCTTTTCCAGGGCAGTCTCCTCTTCCCCTCCTCCTCCTTCTTACAAATCAGTGCAACAATATTAATAAAAAAATTATTGTATGCAAAACACTAAAGCAATGATATTTACCCCCCTACAAGCCACACATGCACATTTAGCCTCAGTACTTTTTATTAGGATCAGCAGAGGGGATACAAAGTGTAATGCTGGTTCTTCTAACAGGGTAAGGATAGGTTTCATTTATTCCTTAAACATTTACTGCATTCACACTAGGTGCAGCATTTATAAAGATGAATCAGAAATTCACCTTTGTCCTCTGGTTGAGGACAGCCATTTTCTGGGTGAGGTGTCAGAAGAATAATAAGCATTTTCATTACCTTCCCTGTGGTGCATGATCTGGGAGACAAGAAGATTATTGTTTGGTTTCAATTTCATCACTCACTGCTATGCAATAAAATGGTAATACCCATACCATTTGTTTATGTGTAGATGGTCTGGGGACACACAATTTGTGAAAGCTTCTGTTGAGGTTATATGCATGTATTGTTAGCCTACTATAGCTTAACCATGGACAGAGTCATCTTTTTTTGTTTGATATCATATAATGTTTTAAACTAAGGAATAATTTATAAGATTTATAAATTTCTAATCAGCACACTGTAAATGGGTAGAATTGCTAACTTAGGGGATGCACTCTCATTTTGAACTATACCAACTGATTTTTTTTCTCAGCATTTAAGTTGTTGTATACATGAATAATAAATGAACAATTAGTATGAATTATAGATGTGAACTAATGGAGGCAAATATAGCTCAGTTGGATCTTGGTTCAGGGGAATGCCTTGTATGTTAAAAATGATTTGATTCATTTTGACCTGGGATGACTTGAATAAAATATACTATTTAGCAAAGATATAGCAGGTTTAATTAACAGGTAAATATAATTATAGATGAAAATAGTATAACTTAGTACTGTAGAATATAGTGAAGAAAGAAAATAACATAAAAATTAACCTAGCATCCCCTACTGTACTTGAAAAATTCAACCAAGAGTCCCCCAATTCAGTTGTTTTCAGGTACTGTAATTTTTTAAATATATTTTATAATTGATAGAGAATGGTCATTTAGTATATTTTTATAGTGTTGCATTTGGTATAAGACATAGTATTATATTTAACTTAATGTCAAATATGTGTACTAAATTGTTCAACATGTAATGGTTTTTTTCTATTCTTTTGAATAGGTCATAAATTGAAATTTCTGTATCACTCACAGCTTTAAGTGTACTTTTTGTCAAGGATCTGAACACTAGCTGGATGTTGCCAGTATGCATTCTTTCTATTCCACTAGAACAATAGAAATGACTAAAACTAATTATTTTATGCATCTGTAAAGTTCAATAATAGACAAGAAAGGATTTGTGTGAAAACGTGAAGTTTTTTTTTACTCTTTTATCAAACTGTGATTTTTTAAAAAAAGATTTTAAAAATATTTATTACTAGTTTTATTCAGAAAACACTATTGGGGTGGGTCTTTGTTTTTACTGCATTTTCTTTCTCTTTAAATTAAGGAATGCTATTTTATAAGTACATTTTAATGAGGGGTTAACTAAATAGGCAGGCATGCATTTTTTCCCCCCACAGGGTCTTTCTTTGTTGCTCAGGCTGGAGTATAGTGGCACAGTCATAGCTCATCGTAACCTTGAATGCTTGGGCTCAAGCGATCATTTGCCTCAGCCTCCCAAGTAGCTGGGATTACAGGCCTGGGCCACCACGCCCAGCTAATTTTAAAATTTTTTGTAGAGGTGGGGTCTTGCTATGTTATCCAGGCTGAACAGGGATATCTTTTCATTTGCTTTATTTTGGAATAAGCTGGGTATATAGAATGAAGATAGTTGACTCATTTGGTTCCTTTTCTCCTATTTCTTTTAGGTTTCCTTCACATATGGAATATGGAAAGGAAGGTTGTTTTGCTTTTGTTTTTGTTTTTTGTTTTTTGAGACAGGGTCTTGCTCTGTCACCTAGACTGGAATGCAGTAGCACAATTATAGCTCACTGCAGTCTTGAACTCCTGGGTACAAGCAATCCTTCCGCCTTAGTAGCCTGAGTAGCTGGGACTACACACGTGGGCCACCAAGCCCGGCTAATTTTTAATTTTTTTTTTTTTGTAAAGACAGTGTCTCACTCTGTTGTCTAGGCCGATCTCTAACCCCAGGGCTCAAACAGTCCTCCTGCCTTGGCCTCCCAAAGTGCTGGGATTACAGGTGTGAGGCACTGTGCCTTGCCTTAGTCTTAAATCTTAAAGCTCAGAAACCAATGAGACTTGTGAAGGGAATTTTTATCCAGTCTGCTGTTCTCTAGTTTACCTGTATTGACTGAGACTGATAAGATGGTTAAAGAGAACTCTTCTTGAATGCCTGTCCCTCTATTTGGGGAATTCCTGTTTTCTAGCGAAGTTGTCCATCAAGCAAATTTCTGTTACATGAACCTTTTATGTTTTCTTTCCTTTATAAAACTGGAGGCCTATGTACTTAGAAGGAAAACAGTTGTAAACTATTTTACTGTAAATGTTTAACAGTTAAACATTTTTATCAAGGAATTAAGATAGTAGAATTCTGAACATTGTTGTACATTGGAACATTTTGCCTTTAAATAGTTATAACACCAGCAGACAGTTGACCTTTTTCTTTTTTGGTAGCCGTTCATTTCAGGAACTCTGGGGCCTCCACTGCATGACATGCCATCACGCATAGTGGTACAATTCCAGACTTTCTTCCTTTACTAGTTTGGTCTGCATGTTTATAATGCTTAATATAATTGACCTAAAACCTCTGCTTGAGACTTTAAATTATTATTCTTAACGCATTTTAAAGATAGAAATATGTAGAATAGAATATTTTCTGTGCACGTGGCACTTGAGAGACTTTAAGACAGTGCAACGCTGGATCACACACACTCCGGTGTGGTCCAGGGACACAAGCTCTGACTAGAGTATCGAAGAATGGTTGGTTGCTCTAGGAGAATGTGGGCGGAAGGTGAGGGATCAATTCTTGATAATAAAAAATTGGACAATTGAACAATATTTGCCAAACAAAGAATTTCGTCTACAATTTATGCAAATCACTTTATTGTTAGGTACAGCAATAGAAATTAGTTCACTTGGTTAGCTTTGGGCTTTGCGGATTTCTTTGAGCTAAGGTTATTTTCCTTTCTCCATTGTGTAATTGTGTACCTATACATTTGTGCAAATGTGTACACCCACACGTTCATAGTCCTCCTACAACTTTGTACAGCTGTGGGACAAATCAGCTTCTACTGGAGGATTTGCGTCAACTATAGGAGCACCAGAAAGCCACTTCTCTCCTGTTCCACGGTGTAAAGAAACTTCAGGCTACTTTATGCTTCTCTTCCTAGTTGGCTTATTTCCATACAAGATTTGGTGGATTAGTTGCAGTATTTTCAGTAGGATGGTGAACTCTAACATGGTATAATGCATAAAGTAATATCTGAAGTTTTGAAAGGTACTTATTGTATTTCAGGGTCTTTGCTTAAGTTTGGAGGTAGAAGGTCAGTAACCAGGGCAGGGAACTAGGAGATAGTTGATCATGGCTCTGTAACTGCTCAGTTGCTTTGGTCTGTAGCTTTTTCATCCATAAGTAGAAGGAAATAAGTTATAGTTTTGTTGTTGTTGTTGTGGTTAGCTTGCTTTTGAGATGGAGTTTTGCTCTTGTTGCCCAGGCTGGAATGCAGTGGTGAGATCTCGGCTCGCCGCAACCTCAGCCTCCCGGGTTCAAGTGATTCTCCTGCTTCAGCCTCCCAAGTAGCTGGGATTACAGCCATGTGCTACCATGCCTGGCCAATTTTGTATTTTTAGTAGAGACGGGGTTTCTCCATGTTGGTCAGGCTGGTCTCGAACTCTCAATCTCAGGTGATCCACCCACCTCGGCCTCCCAAAGTGCTGGGATTACAGGCGTGAGCCACTGTGTCCAGCCATAAATTATAGTTTTTAAGATCTGGACCACCTCAGCTTTTCTAAGAGAATAAATGCAGCAATAACAAAATAAAGCCAGAAAACAAATGAAAACTACTACTTATCTTAAATGTATATAGTGTTGGGTCTCAGAAAATGATATCACCAAATGAAGGCCTCAGAAGTAGTCTCAGAAACAAGTTTTCCTTTGATCTTTTCCTACTTTCCTGTCACTGGCCCTTCATTTTCCCCTGAGGCTAGCCGCAGAAACTAGAATTCCTCTTTTCCAAGGTGGGCCATAGACACCAGAACCCCTTGTTTCCACAATCAGCCATAAAACCTAAAAATATTACTCAACTCCCCTCATGTCCCAGCTTTCTGTGTAAAAACTGGCCTTAAAAATTTATCTGACCTACCTTGTTTGATTACATAAGACCCCCATTCCAGAGAGGGTTCTTCTCCATACCCAGAAAAAAACAAAACAAAACTCAAAGAGGCCAAGAAAAATCTAAACTGATAAGCCTTACTGGGTTTCCCCACTCAGTCTATTGAGATTAGATCCTACCCATTTTGTCCAAACATATTTCTACGTGGCTGACCACACTTTGTTAAACCTGAACATAAAAATGGGCAGTATCTCCTATAGCTTTGGGTCCTCATTCTAAAGGCTCCCACGTCACGTAAAACCACGATCAAATAAATTTATATGCCTTTTATCCTAATAGTATGCCTCTTGTCAGTGAACCTTCAGAAGGCAGAGAAAGTGCTCTTGGCTCCTACAATAGAATGAATCGTGTGTTCAAACTTTTAGTCTTTTAGAGCATATTTGAATGCTGTTTTTAAAAAAGTTGTTTCAAATAATTATTAGAAGAATTGAGCTTTATAGAATGATATAAATACTCATTCTGAGTCCTAGGTAGATGGTTTCCTCCGAATAGACATTTTTATGGCCCTTAGGAAAGGATAAACCATGTGGAGGACACTGTTAGGAAGGTGTGTGTTGGGGCTGGCTGTGCCTGGAGTGGAATCTGACATAGAATTCATTAGTCATTGACATGCAAATTGCCTTTTAAGAATTGCAAATATTTGTCTTCATTTGTTAAAGGAAAATTGGATGAGCACTGCACATTTCTTGCCATATAGCAGATACTGCTAAATGAATCCAGGCTTTCACAGTGTGCTTGGAGCGTTAGAGAAAATGATGGTGCAGCTGATAGTTGACCTGGAAACTATTTCCAGCTCTATCATTGCTATTATATTGTTATGGTCATAATTATACTTTACTCAGGATTTTCTCCTTCTCACCTCTAAGTGCCTCAATCATTTAGATTCATGTGTACATCATTTCTTCTTGATAGCTTTTTGATGTAGACACTATTTTAAATCTTATGATCACTTAATGTGCATAAGTACACATTTCGTTTGTTTTCATTACTAGAACTATCTTCCAGCCCTTTTGACCTGAGTAACTTCGTGATTAAGGGGAGGAATTAGTAAAGAAATAATAGATTAAATATCAGTTCAAATAAAGTTTGCTTGAGGTCAACAAATGAATTCTTTGACTAAAATAAACTGCTGGCATTTGTGATGTGCATAATATTACGTGGACCTCTGTAGAAGAGATTTTGTGATATAAAAAATCATTAAAGATCAGTTGAACTCTTCAGAAATACTTCCTTAAAAATATTCTGTAGTTCATACTTCACTGAGCTAGGCAGGACTTCCTCTTGCTTACTGTGAATTAAAGAAGTTTAGAATATATGAATGAGTTTTAGATGATTTGTCATATGAATGACCCATGCCCTGTTCATTCCTGAATAGTCAGGATTTGGCAGTACTGTACAATGCTCACCTCCATTTATTATTGCCTTTTGTTTGAATTAAATGAGACTTTGTTTTTGTCGTGAGAAATATAATATGTTTTTCTTAAATGCTTACATTTTTAAAGGATGATGATGTGGAAAATAATAGTGGTGGATGACTAAGCCTGTACAAATGAAATGAATGGATACTTTGTGAATCTAATATTTTTGGAAGTTATTATGAAGCCATACATAACTTTGAAATATGCAAATTATGCTAGATTTTTTGGGTAGGATTGATTTTTTAAATTAATTTCTTAATTTTCTTACCTGTGAAAGGCCATTGTAGGTGATTTTAAACAGAATTTTATGCAATTCTTAAGTTGTCTGAGGTTAATTCTGTCTCTGCTCAGTTGTCCCACTTGCTACCTCCCAGTGCCTGCTCTGGAACCAGTCCCAATGAGAAGAGGAATGTAGGTCTTTGAACCACACTTAAGGAATAAGACCAAAGTGTTATCTTTCCTAAGGGTGCTTGAATTTAAATCTTGGCTCTTTTAAAGACTGAAAGGAATGACTTAAATTGTGGACTTTGGGACAGCTCTTTGGGTGTGGTATATTAGAGGAGGTGAGTTTCCAGGGGCATTCAATTATACATACTACCTAGTGGCTATTTTTCCAAGACTAGCATTAGGCAGTATTTTCAAAATGAAGATTATGGACATAATCTTCAGAATTTTAATGACTACTACTGAAAGTTAAAAGGGGAAAACACATTTTATTTTTCCTTAGTGGATGAACAAATCAAATGGAAGATATAACACAGCTAATTACAGCTAATTCATATGCAGAACATTTAATTTTGTTTCTGTGTTTCTTATTGATGACCTCATGAGAAGAGGAAGGTAATAAATGATAAAAACTTCATATGTGATGTAATCTATTATTTGAGATACAAGATCTGATATTAGTCATTCTTCCACTTTTTCCCCCTTTGAAAATTACAGTGGTTGCTTCTTGATGAGGAGATATTGGAATAAAGAAAAAAATTATAATAGGACTGTCTGTTTGCCTAGATAAAAAAGAAAATATAATTAGCATTGACGTCAGGATGTTAATTACAAAAAAGAAGGAGCTTGCTAAATCCTCACTTAAAGGAAGAAACACATGCCACACACAGTGGAGGCTAAATCATTCTGCCTGGATCCCTTACTACTTAAGTTTAAAAATCATGTTAACCCAGGACTGGCTCAATATGTTCAAATGATTATTTACTATTAAAGGGTTTTGGGATTCTTTTCCACTTTAGGATCAGTACGACTTCGTGGCGGCAAAAATGAGTTTGAAGGCACAGTGGAAGTATATGCAAGTGGAGTTTGGGGCACTGTCTGTAGCAGCCACTGGGATGATTCTGATGCATCAGTCATTTGTCACCAGCTGCAGCTGGGGTGAGTGTACCCATCCCTGACCAAATCAGTCAGCTAGTATTTGAGAATAATGCTGGGTGCCCGTCATTGCTTTGTAAAGCTTGTATCTTTGTTTCTTACTGTCACTTTCCTCATTCTCACTTTTCACAAAAGAGCTATAAAGAAAGGGCCCCAAATGGAAGAAATGAATTCTCTCACATGCAAATGTACTTCACATATTACTATCTGGGCTGAACTAGGAAAATGGGCAAATACTAAGTGGGCAAATTTAAAAGCATCTTTTGGTCTTTGTCTTTAACAAAATACAGAGGCCTTTGAAGCAAGTTATGCCTTTACAAATTCTAAGAATTTGATTCTAAAAATTATAATTTCTTAGAATTATAATGAATTAATTATAATTATTCTAATTATTAATTATAATTAATTAATTAGCACAGCCTTAACTTGTTGTTGTCATTTGATTTTACCTTTCTACTTTTATCCACCCACAAGTTCCATTTGTGTGTGAAAGGGGCAATGTTTACCTGTGCCCTTGTCCTTGATGGGGAAGTGGTGATGTCCCAGGCCTTAGGTTTTGGTGCTGAGGAGGTCTTGTGGAAGATGGCAGCTTCTGTTAGCTCTGGCAGTGTCCTGCTGTCCTGAGGAGCTGTCAGCCTGGGAACTGGCTCCACTGTAACCCTAGGCACTGTCTTTACGACAAGTCAGTGTATTTTGAATTCATCAGTCCCAGCATCTTTATTCCTTGTGCCATAGAGTTTCACCAGGAGCAGAAGGCTTCTTTTTGGGACAACAGGTTTTATTTTTGTTTTTCTTATTCTTTTGTTTTTGTGTCTCCTTTATATTTTCTAAGCGCACTTAACATATGTTTTTTCTTGGCCTTTATCACCAGAGGTCTTTAGAAAGCATGGAAATATTTTGTTATTAAAAAAATACAGTCTAAAAGACTGAAAAAGAGGTTTGCAGTTTGCAAGTATTTTGCATTAATAATCAGAGTGGTAATATGATGACACAAAATGAAGAAGTAGAACTTTAATTTACCAGATTTCTCTTGTCTTACCACTAGGAAGCTGAGGAATGAGTATTGAATAAAAGCAAAGCTTGAAGGCCTAAATTTTGCTTAGATTTTTGATGCTGTTAGAGCAATAAATAGGGTTATTATAGTAAATTAAAATTAATTATTTTGATGAGTTGATATAAATCAGGATGAACGAAGGAGTAAGGCCAGAGCCTATAAAGTGTTATGGTGCTTGGAAATGTTAATTACTGATTTTATCATGAATACTTAGTCTGGCAAACAGACAATTGGCAAGTGGGCAGGTCACAAAGAATGATGATTTCATGCTTTTTCCTTTGAGGGGCAAGAGATGTAATAAATTTGTAGGCTGATGTCAATGTCTTCCTTTATATACATACCTATTTGTGCTTTTATTACCCCGGAAAATCAGAAAGGAATAAAATTTTCTGTGAGATACAAAGAAACAAGAACGCTATAGTGGAGGTGTGAACTACTGTGTGGTTTATTAGTCTTTTGATTGATGAAAGTATGTAAACTATTATTCTGCAAACAAACTTCAGATAAGCTGATCCAGCTGCTTATATAGTATCATCTCTCAGTAGTCCATTTAAAAAAAAAAGGAATTGCACGATAAAATCAGAGAAACCCAGCTTTATTGCTGTGAAGACACATTTACATTTTAGATATACCCCAAATATTTACAGTTTGGTTGATGGAATGCTGCAGCATGGAGACAGTTGTAGAGATTACCATGTTAATCAGATAAGCATTTCACCTTTTTTAAAATTTAATGCCAGTTTGTACACAGCAGAGGTTACTTACAAAAATATGTGGATTAGATGAGCTAAAAGCAGAACCCGTCTGTATGCTATTATTTTCATTTTTTCTTTTAAAAATACTCTCCTGGTGTTAGGAAAGAGATGCATGTTGCTATGTTATTAATTGGTTTCAAAGGCTTGCTAGCAAATACTATATACAGTGTAAGGTTTTAAAAATTATAAATGGATTGCCTCCCGTGATATTATTGTGCTTAGATGTAGTAATAATAATTTTGAAAATGCTAGCCTAGAATGTTAGAGTCAGAAAGAATCTTCAAGCATCCAGATTTTTCTTTTGACACATTAGAAGACAAAGCCTTCGAGTTACTTGCAGCTTGGCATGACTTTTAGCTGAGCCCAGACTGGAGTCCAAGCCTCACTGAAGCTCGTGACACACCTCTTGCACACAGCCTTACTTTTTATGTCTGCAGTACTTGGCCATTTTCTTCTAAATCAGTCATTGGTGGTAAAGGCACATAAAGTAGTTATTTAAGATTGATGAAAAGAATTCCATAAGTAGGCAAACCACGTTGTGATCTGATGTTTTGATTTCCTTGAAACTGATGTAGTCTTTTGTGTTTTTCTTCTTTCTTTCTTTGTTTCTTCCATATTCATCTTTGTTGATTTCTTCCATTTTTTTTCAAATCCAAATGTTTTGATAAAAAGTTTTGCCTACATTTGATAAACCTAATATCGCTCATTGTACTTCCAGAGGAAAAGGAATAGCAAAACAAACCCCGTTTTCTGGACTGGGCCTTATTCCCATTTATTGGAGCAATGTCCGTTGCCGAGGAGATGAAGAAAATATACTGCTTTGTGAAAAAGACATCTGGCAGGGTGGGGTGTGTCCTCAGAAGATGGCAGCTGCTGTCACGTGTAGCTTTTCCCATGGTAAAAAAAAGAAAAAAGTTCTGTTGTTTTACTTTCATTATGTTTTAAACGTGATTCCAGATGATGAAAGTGTCTTAGTTATAATCATTTCCTTAAAGACTTTAATTACAGAAATAAGTCTGAGTCAAAATATTTTACCATCTAATTAGTCTTCAATATGAGTACTGTTAATTTGAATTCCATTTGATTTTCCAGTGGTATCTCATTTTTAACATATTTTCTATTTTATATAATTTGCTTAAATAAATATGTATATTCTATAGGTTATATATATACTGTATAATATATTGTATATGAAACACATATTTTAGTCATGGAAAATTATGATGGAATCAAGCTGGAAAATAATCATGAAAGTAAATATAGAATACAGCAAATACAACAAAATATTTTCACTTTGTGTAATGCAATATAATTATGGCATCAGTGTTCTTGGGGCTGTAGAGAGCACCTTCCCTAAAAATGGATTGTTGGCTTGAATGAGGGCTTCTTCCAAGTTCCATAGAGTAGGTATGTGGTAATTATCAGTATGGGTTCAGTGTACAGATATGTTTATATTCATGGAAGTAGAGGAAGGAACAACTGCCTTTAAGATGGTGAAAGAGTTTTCTGGGTACCATGGTGTATTTTAATGAATGATCACAACCTGAAGCCACCATACTCTCATGGTATCCCTTTTTGCATTTTCCTTGGTGATAGCAGCATGACCAGATATCCCAGGACTTGGAATGGTAGCAGTCAGCCCAGGGCAGTGGTTTTTGTTTGAGTACAAGTATCAGGGGGAAGAATAAGGAAGCTCCTACCACAAAACAGAGAGACCCATTTTGGAGTAATTCCTCTGGATTGGCTGGAAGAGCCAATGGAGGGATATAGTCCAGGTGTATACTCTGAGAGCTATAATCCTTTTTTTTTTGACTGGGAGAGGCATATGTTAAACCTTGATGTCTTGTAAGTTTTCCCTTTTCTTCTTTTGGTTCTCTACCTTTGGGTAATGCTACTTTTGCTAAATCCAATGCTGCTTCAAGGATGATGTGAACTGGGCCCAATAATTTATTGCTGTTTGTAGATTATTGGTTTTACTCTATGCTCAACCTGATTGATAAAATGTTTTTCAAGTAGTAAAGTAAAAAATTTTAAAAATAATTATAATTTTTTTTCAGGATATCTATCTACATTTTTTACTCCTTCCACCTTCTATAATCTATTCATCTGTTTATATTCTGGTTGCAAAGATAATTTTATGGTCATCTATAAACATATATAAAATATAGAAAGTTATGATAAATTAGAAGTGAGAATTTAAAAAGATTCTCTCGTGGTAGATTAAATGAGAATGTGGAGTTGTATAGCTGAAATCAGCGAACATTGAGTTCACCTTAAGGGATAGTGATAGATCTTTAGTATACTTCCCTTAAATTTGGGAATTACACTTAGTGTCTTGTCATTCTGTACTTGTAGCTTTTCCAACATTTCAAAGTAGAAGATTGCATGCAACTTGGATACAAAAAATAGCAGCAATCTAAATGAAAACGTGGGGAGTTTAATTATCTATAAGCTAAATATGAGTCCATTGATTTACTGAATTTTCTTTCAAATGAGTTTTGTGTTTGTTGGAAGGATGGGGCTGTTAACTAAATCTTGTCCTTGTGCTTTTCTGTATTTTTTATATTTTAACAGTCATCCAAAAAGAAAAAGAAACCACATTTTAAAATAAAACACAACATAGGAAAGTGAAAGGTGGTTATGCCATAAACTGTCTAGGTCCTAGATGGTTTTCAACTTTCTCTTAAAAATTTTTGTTTTTCTGTTTTCTCCAAGCTTAACAGGTGGGGAAAAATATATTAAGAAATGTATACATGTTTTTCTGTATTTTGTAAGCTTTTTAAAGGAAAAATAAACATCATAATTTGTGAGAATTATATTACCATCATTCAGCCATATATATTAAACCTGTCTTTATCCATTAACAAATTGTAAGTGCTAGTTAACTTATGCAAGTAAACAGTATATGCAGATAGTCACTAATCTAAATTTCTGCTACAAAACTCAAATATGAGTGCTTACTTTGGCAGCACGTGTACAAAACTCAAATATGATATTTGAATTTAAGTGTGAATATCCAAATGCCGTTTACTGACTGCTACAACTGTGGAAAATTAGAAACATATTTCATACAGATAAATGATTAGTATTTGGCAAAAAGTACAACTAGACTTCATATTAGAGGACCAACCTGTTAATTTTTACCATATTACGTCCTTTATTCTAGTAAAATTAGACTGCTTTACTCTTTGCCAGACACATTCAGCTTTGTGCTTCTTTCTTTTGTTCATAATGTTCAAGTGGCCTGAACATGCTTCCCTCATCTCTGACTTCCAAATCCCATCTATCTTGGCCCTCTTAAAAAAACAGCTTTTTCACAAGTGATTCCCTAAGTACCCCCAACCATGAGTAAGGTCCTTTGCTTCTGAACCACTGTAGGGTTTTTTGATAATCTCTTGTCTGTACTCCTTTTATCGACGCCCTTAGGCAGTAAACTTCCTGAGGGCCGGGTCTGTCTGGTGTCTCTTCGAATGCCCTGCAGCACTGATCATAACACCTTGTACAAGGCATATGTCTGATATCTGTTTGTTAATCAGAAATTAATGAATAGATGTTGCCAATTATTTTTTCTTGTTTGGAGTGTCTTTTCTAGGTTTATTTAGCATTGCTTGTCAGTTGAGGCAGTCAATAAATAATTATTATATGCCTCTGTATACTAGGTACCTGAAATACATAGGTGTAAAGGAACACAGTATTTCTGTCCTCATTCTAGCCAAGAGGAGTGAGACAATTGACATGTAAACAGTAAATCAGTGACAATTTTAGATAAAAGTAAATACTCTCAGGAAGACAAAATTAGGCAATGTAATAGGAAGTCCCTTAGTGTGCTGTCTTATCCAGGGCAGAGAAGAGACAGAGAAGTTCACAGTCTGACAAGGGCTAGATCAGGGCTGTAGATTATGAGACGGTAGTCACATTTGATGGTCCTTATCAGCGAAAACGGATATGAGCTGATTCATGCCCAAATGAAGTTTCAATATTGTTCTGTTGAGGTACTGGCCATGATGTCCAGCAACTTGTTTTAACGAATTAGATATTAACTTTGACTTGATTTCTACAAATGCATAGATAATTCTATACTGAAAACAAGTATGTTATAGACATAAGTGTCATTCTTAATAATGACATATTGGTAATGCTCAAGTTACTGTAAATAAAAAAAAATCAATGCCACCACCATAATACTATACAAATCAAACACATTTCCAGTAATGCGCAGCTTTTGAGTGTGCCTTTTCTAGTTTCTGAGGTTGTTGGGGAAAAGTGAATTTAAACACATTTCCTCCTAAGAGTTACTTGTATTCATATAATTCAATTTGGGATATTTTAATTGGCCAAGATTACCATAATATATTAGATATATATACGTATGTCCATATCACTGGTGTGGCTTTATAAATATTATTTAATTATTGAGAATGGCAAAAAATATAGAATATACCTAATCTTATCAATCAATGTAAATGCATAGGTTTTGCTTATTTTTAACTTCACATTGCACAGGCCCAACGTTCCCCATCATTCGCCTTGCTGGAGGCAGCAGTGTGCATGAAGGCCGGGTGGAGCTCTACCATGCTGGCCAGTGGGGAACCGTTTGTGATGACCAATGGGATGATGCCGATGCAGAAGTGATCTGCAGGCAGCTGGGCCTCAGGTTTGTTTTTACTACTCTTGTTTTGCTTAAACTTTTGAATCTTATTATTTCCATACCCAAAGGCAGGTGCTGTTTGTTTAAATTGCACATTTCCTTGAACAAATGGGACAAGTTACCTTTTGATCTTTGTAGTAGGGCTGTAGGCTTCCTGAAGAGCAGTTAACGTGTACTCTGTAGGTTTAACCTGCTTGTGTCTGAATTAGGCTGATTTTATGTCACTAAGAATCTAAGCTTTTATTACTTCTCATTGGTAGTCTTTACGTTACTCCCAGGTAGTAACCAGCACTGTAAACTATAGTGACTTAATCAAATTCCATATGATGAAAAACTGGTTGTTAGCTTGTAACTCAAATTTAACTTCTAGTCATGAAATGTTGTCTAAACTTTTGAACTGCACTTCCTTGTTAGGTATGTGCTTAGAACAAAGGATATTTATTAATGTACAAAGGAGATAATTCCCCTGTAGGGTTGGAAAGGAAGCCTATGTCATGAAAACAGCAGTCTGAAAATCAACATTCCAGGTTGCCTCAGTTGGGATTATTCTGGAGTATTATAATTTTAGGCCTTCTAATCCCTCTGTTTAGTGATTCTGAACATTGGTATAACAAGCCTGAAAGTTTCTCTAAAATTATATTGGGGGATCTTTTAAAAGTTAATCATTTTCTTCAGATTTTAAAAAATATTTCATTTAGTTAATCATTTACTACAGAATTTAAAAATATTTCATTTAGCACTGAGGGGGCCAATGATGGGAGGCCTGTTCTTCCCTGTTCATTGTGTTCAGTTAACCATAATCCTTGACTGGAGCATGATTGTTGAACCTTGAACAATTTTTACAGTTCAATTTTTTTGTAATTTTTAAAAATAATTGGCTCTCTTTCAAAATTCTATGTTATATTTGAAGTATTTTAAAGTAAAATATAGACACTTTAACACTTTGTCTATAAACACTTCAGCATGCATCTCTTACAAATAAGAACATTGTTCTATGTAGCCAAATTATCATTATCACAACTAATTATTGGTAATCATTTTTAATATTGTCTAATACTTCATCTTATTCAAATTTTCAGAGTTGCCCCTACAGTGTCCTTGGCAGATGGCTTGTCTGAAGCAGAATTTAGTCCAAGACCAATCTGGATATTATGTTCCTTAAGTGTCTTTTACTCTAGAAAGGCCTGGGTTTTTTGTTGTTGCTGTTTTTTTTTGGTTTGGTTTGGTTTTTCCATAATGCTGATTTGTTGAAGAGCCAAGGCCAGTTGTTTTGGAGACTGTCCCATCTTCTGAATTTGTCTTATTTTTTTCCTTCTGGTGTCATTTAGTTTACTCTTCTGGTTCTTGTAATTCATAAAATTAGAGTTTAGGTTTAAAGGCTTGATTAGATCAAAGCAAACATTTTGTCTGGAAATCATCACAGGTAATGTATTCTCATCTTGCATTTCACCAGGAGTCATGAAAAGCTCTAGTTTTCCCCACAAATGAAGCTGAAATTGAGCACTGGTTTAAGTGACATCAGCCTGATCCTTTACTGTAAAGTTAGATTTCCCCCTGAAACTGACTATGGGACCTAAATGCTAATTTATAGTTCACATGTGGGACAAGAACAAACACAGCAGATCCTGTGTCAACAGGTTTTGCTGTGATTACTGGCATTGTTTACGATGGTATGATCATTTTCTTTGGGTTGGTTAGGAATATGGCATCTTGGTTTCTTTTGAAAAAACTAACAAGTACGTTTATGAGACAAGATTTTTTAAAAGTGTTTTGACTGGGTATCAATTTCACGAGCAATTTTCTCAAAGTTTCCCGGTGCCTGCTGTTGGAGTCAGCATAGCATATGATTATGGGCGTGTGTTCTGGATGCTGAAAAACCTGCATTTAAATCCCATTTTTGGAGTTGCGAAAAGCTACAGAATATCTCTTAGTTGCAGTTTTCTCATCTATAACGTATTTCTTAATTTATAGGGTTTTGTGTCTACAAGCAGTTAGCACACATAGTAAGTACCATATACATTGGCTATCAAGGGCACTCTAATTAGGTAGTTATATTTTAAAGATGTTGTTAAACATCTTTATTGTTTACATTCAAAGTAACCAGCATTTGGTAATGACAGAGCACCAAACACTATTCCTCCATCTGGAACTTCTATTTAGTTAGCTGTATCTATGAACTTCTATATTTTTAATACACTCTAATGTGTACATATATGTATTCACTGGGTTATCAGTTATGTGTTCAGTGACGTGCTAATTGATTTTCATGTGAGTTACTAAGAAACCTATGTCTTTGCCAAAAATATTAAGAACTTTTAGGGTATAGTAATAGCATTTTTAATATTATCAGTTACAATATGGGTTATTCTAAGTTTAAGGTAAAAGGCATTTTTGATTATTAATATATTTGTGGGTAAAGGCAAGCTTTTGTTGCTTAGAAAAATCCATAGAACATTTAAGTGACACACTGAATATTAGTTACATTACAGTTACTGAAGTGATTCCAAAAATCCATGTTGTGGCCAGGTGCAGTGGCTCATGCTTTAGGAGGCCAAGGTGGGAGGATAGGTTGAAGACTAGCCTGGGCAGTATAGCCAGATCCTGTGTCTACAAAAAAATTTTTTTAAATAGGCTGGGCACGGTGGCTCACACCTGTAATCCCAGCACTTTGGGAGGCCGAGGTGGGTGGATCACGAGGTCAGGAGTTTGAGACCAGCCTGCCCAACATGGTGAAACCCCGTCTCTACAAAAAATACAAAAATTAGCTGGGTGTGGTGGTAGGCACCTGGGATCCCAGCTACTCAGGAGGCTGAGGCAGGAGAATTGCTTGAACCCAGGAGGCAGAGGTTGCAGTGAGCCACGATTGCACCACTGTACTCCAGCCTGGGCAACAGAGCAAGACTCCGTTTCAAGAAAAGGAAAAAGAAAAAATTAGCCAAGTGTGGTGGAGCACAACTGTAGTCCCGACTACTAGGAAGGCTGAAGTGGGAAAATTACTTGAGCCCAAGAGGTTGAGGCTACTATGAGCCATGATCACATCACGGTACTCCAGCCTGGATGAGACAGCAAGACTCTCTTTCTAAAATATAAAAATAGAAATTCATGCTGTAATGTAGAGTTCTTTTTTTTTTTGTTGTTGTTTTAATGTAGAGTTCTTCCTTGAGACAAATATTTTTTTCACTTAAATAGAAACAGTTTTTAAACAAAGGCCATATTGACAAGGATAATCAGTTACCTAGAAAAAATATAGAGATAGAATCACAAGGAAGGCCATATTAATGTTGAACACACTCATGGGTTAAGTAAAGTATTAACGCCTTTCTCAAACACTAGCTCATTGCTGCTTTTCCTATGAGGGGATTCTTTGGAAAAGTGATTAAAATATACAAGCAAAAATCCTCCACAAGCACTTGTAACAAATAACAATCCAGCTTTATAGAGATTTGTTTTTATTATAAGTACTCTGATGCTCTGAGCTGACATTCTTCGTTTACTTTTCTTGCACTTGATTTTATAGTTCTCTCATAAGTTTGCAATAAAGCAGTACTCTACGACTCTTCTTTCTCTATAATTTGTTTTGCTCATTTAAAGGCTAAGTACTTTCAGATGAGGATTGTTTTTTAATGGCACAGGATTGATAGCAGACACATAATTGTTGCTTGTCTCAATTTATGATTCATTCTTAAGCAAATTTCATCTCAGTTTTATCTGCCTTGTTGAATTCCCACAGGGAAACTACATCATGCTTTTCTGGAGTAGTGGTTACAGTTTATTTATGAGATGCTGTCATTGTTAACCTTCATCTTTTAATGGTGTCTGTATATTTTGGTAGCTGGCAAGCTTCCTAAATACAAAAGGAATTATTATACTTAAGATACTTAAATTTGATTAACCCAGAACATGGAGAAAGATGAGCAGCGGGAAAGGAGGCAGCCAGATGTTAGAAAATTAGATAACTTGAGAACGCATATGTACCCAGTGAAGTTTAGTTGGAGACATTTTAACTGAAGTTCCTTTTTATGTGCTTAACATTAAAAGCACTTTCCATGTCTTTCAAAAACTCTTAAAAGCATAGCTTTGTACTGTGAGATCATATTTTATTTTGTGGATGTGCCATAATTTACTTGGGAATTTAAAAATTGTGGATACTTTCTTTCCTTTTAGGGTGCTTTCATTTTTACTTTTTTGCTCTAAAATTATATAGAACCATATTATTGAGTAGTAGAATACAAATTCTTCCCATATAAATTACTCTTTAAAAATTGTTTTTTGCCAGGCATGGTGTCTCACGCCTATAATCCCAACACTTTGTGGGGCTGAAGTGGGAGGACTGCTTGAGCCCAGTAGTTCCAAACCAGCCTTGGCAACATAGTGAGACTCCCATCTCTACAAGAAAAAAAAAATTAGCTGGTTGTGGTGGCACGCACTGGTGGTCCCAGCTACT
Organism: Homo sapiens; assembly: GCF_000001405.40. Taxonomy (NCBI): domain Eukaryota; kingdom Metazoa; phylum Chordata; class Mammalia; order Primates; family Hominidae; genus Homo; species Homo sapiens. The sequence continues at coordinate 118,327,277 of NC_000004.12, read as the reverse complement.
CAGAGGCTGAGGTGGGAGAATTGTTAGTCCAGGAGGTTGAAGCTACAGGGAGTTGCAGTTGCACCACTGCACTCCAGCGTGGGTGACAGAGTAAGACCCTGTTTCAAAAAAAAAAATTTTTTTTCTTTGCTCTTTTATTTTACGGTTCATTAAATTTTAAAAAACATTGTATAAACCAAGCTTGTCCAACCCACAGCCCGCAGGCCATATGCAGCCCAAGACGGCTTTGAATGTGGCCCAACACAAATTTGTAAACTTTCTTACAACATTATTTATTTATTTGTTTATTTATTTTAGATCATCAGCTATTGTTAGTGTTAGTCTATTTTATGTGTGGCCCAAGATAAGTCTTCTTCTTCCAATGTGGCCCAGGGAAGCCAAAAGATTGGACACCCCTGGTATAAACTTTACAACAAAGATAGCCTGGTATATGGAATTATTGAGCAGGAAAGATAACTTGTTTAACAGTTGAGGAAGTTAGGCCCACTGAGATTACACAATATTCCCCAAGTCTGTTAGTGGGAGGCAGAGTCTTGAGGTTTATGGCTCCCAATTTAGGATTTTTTCTGTTATGTTACATTATTTGTAAAATGGCGAGGTGTTAATAAGAATAAATACAAATATAGGGCTGAAAGAAATAAGGAAGTCAAGAGAGAAAGTTAAATTTAAGAAGAAAATGATAGTGACCGTGTTTTAGATAGACTGTATTTGAGGTGCCATCAGCCATCAATTGACAGCGTTCCAGGAGGCTGCAAGAATGCTCAGTGTTTCGGTCTGCTCTGTAGTCAGACAAACTTTACCATTTAGTAGTAGTGTAATGTTGGACAAGTTATTTAACTTTTGAGCCTCTGTTTCCTTATCAGTAAATTTGGTATAATAGCATCATTCGGTTGCAGGGAGGAAGAAATTAGTTAGTATGTCTAAAAGCACTGTTAGACCAGTGCCAGGCATGCAGGAAGCATTTGATACACATCAAACATCATTATTGGAGATGGCGGGGATTGTTTTCTAGAGAGTAATCTAGGATATTAAAAATGAGTTTTTTCATCCATGGATTACAAACTCTGTATATGGCACAAACTGATAATTGCAGTTAAAGAGCCAATCTTTTATAACCTAATAAATAATTATGTTGTACAATAGAATGGCCTAACTCTATTCTAGGTCTACCTCAAAGCAGTAGCTAATCCTGGGGATTGAGTTAATCAGATGGTGCCATTTATTTGGCCTTTTTCTGTGTATGTAAGGGGGAAACAAAAGCAAAAATTTTGTATTAATACAATTTGATTAGCTAAATTTAGATTTAAGAATGTTTTGAATAGGGATTGGAAATAGAACCAGTTCAGTAAGTGTTTATTGAGGATTGCTGTTATGTAGGTCAAATATCTTTACACAGAAAATAATTCAGGGTATTAGATCAGAGTATCTCTGCCCAAAAATTTATTTACAGATTATCAGAGGGTAAAAAACTAGACAACACTAGAGCTTTTATTACAGATGAACTGCTGGGGCTGGTATGGAAATAATTTCCATGAAGGACAGAGAACACACAGCTTTATCAAATTCACATTTACTTGAACAGTTCACGAGTTTTTGTTGATTTCCTCAGTATTGTAATTCATGACTCTTTAAAAGCAGAGTCATCAATTATTTTGGTATTCTCTTGAAAGCCAGCATAGTTCTGAGTACCAGGAAATGCTAGTGACTGGCTGAAGCAATGTGTGAATATGTAAATACTGTTTTCTTAACTTAAACTAAAAAGTTAGCCAGAAAACCTGATTTTGTGTTACATTATAGTTTCCTGGTTAATGTTTTTTGTTGTTGTTCTCAAGTTTATTCTGCTGGTTATTCTGATTAGTTTATTTTAAACATTTTTGTATCATTAAAATAATAAACATACAGAAATGGATGAGAAGAAAATAAAACACCCAGGTAGTGTTTTTTTTTTTTTTTTAATTTTCAGCTTTTCATGGGTATATTGGACCCATGTAATGAGCATAGTACCCATAGGTAGTTTTTCAACCTACGTCTCTCATCCCGCAGTAGCCTGCAGTGTCTGTTGCTCTCACATTTATGTCCATGTGTGTTCAATATTTAGCTCCCACTTATAAATGAGAACATGTGGTACTTGGTTTTCTGTTCCTGTGTTAATTCACTTAGGATTGTGGCTTCCAGCTTTGTCCATGTTGCTGCTCATCAATGGTGGATTAGATAAAGAGATATTGGCATGTGTATACCATAGGATACCATGTAGCCATGAAAAAGAATGAAACTGGGCTGGGCGTGGTGGCTCACGCCTGTAATCCTTTGGGAGGCTGAGGCGGGTGGATCACAATGTCAGGAGTTCGAGACCAGCCTGACCAACATGGTGAAACCTGTCTCTACTAAAAATTCAAAAATTAGTGGGTGTGGTGGTGGGCGCCTGTAATCCCAGCTACTCAGGAGGTTGAGGCAGGAGAATCGCTTGAACCCGGGAGGCAGAGATTGCAGTGAGCTGAGATTGTGCCACTGCACTCCAGCCTGTGCGACAGAGACTCTGTCTTCAAAAAACAAAAGCAAAAACAAAACAAAAGAATGAAACCATGTCCTTTGCACCAAGTGGTGTTTTCAGAGAGGATTTAAAAATACATAGCATCCCCAGAGTCAATGTTTGGGGCTTGTACTCTCTTATCTTGTAATCTCCTTTAAGGAACGGGCCAAGTTCAAAGGCAATTAACCAGAACTTTTGCTTTTTCCTTGAATGTGTGTCATGTAATAATTAATGTATTTGAAACACAATATACTTCAGCTCCCCTTTCTCAGCCTATCAGAGTATTCTCAGCCAAAGCATGACTTTAGGATTTGTTACTTTTTCTAGGGAATTAAAAAGCCTTCAGTTGCTTGTCTTTTTGCCTAAAAATTGTATGAAAGTTATATTAATATTTTAAATCTCCAAAAATGTGATAGGTAAGCATGCATTATTGTTTAATTTTACCACTAGTGATCTTGAGCTTCTTATCCTGTGGTCATTGGCCATGGATATTACTTCTTCTGTGCATAGTTGGATCCTCTCTATTGTCTATTTTTTTAAGTTGATTGCTTTGTCTTTTACTAAAATGTGATAATATCCTAGCACTTTGAGAGGCTGAGGTGGGCAGATTGCTTGAGTTCAGGAGTTTGAGACCAGACTGGGCAACATGGAGAAACCCTATCTTTGCAAAAATTTTAAAAATTAGCCAGGCATGGTGGCATGTGCCTGTAGTCTCAGCTACTGGGGAGGCTGAGGTGGGAGGATGGCTTGAGCCTGGGAGGCAGAGTTTGCAGTGACCCAAGATTGTCCCACTGGAATCCAGCCTTAGTGACAGAACCAGATGCTGTCTTTAAAAAATTATCTATCTATCTAGATATATATACACACACACACACATATTTATATAAGTAAACTGTAACTGAAATGTGTGTGCATGTGTGTGTGTGTATATATATATATAAAAAACAAGTTATTACTATTATTCATTTCTAGGAGTTTTTTTTTGCAAATTGCAAATGTTTCTTCCAGCCTATTGGTTTGCATTTTGACTCTGATTATGGTGTGTTCTGCTGTATGGTAGTTTTCAATTTGTATGTGGTTGAATTTAACTTTTTTGGTTTTTGTTTTCTGACTTCTGGGTTTCCTAGGAATTCTCTCTTACATCCAAGGTTATAAAAACTATGTTCCTATATTTTAGTCTAGTAACTTTTTAGTTTTCTTTTCTTTCTTCCTTCCCTCCCTCCCTCCTCCTCTCTTCCTTTTTCCTTTTGCTTCTTTCTCCCTCCCGCCTTTCTTTCTTTTCTTTTTTTTCCACCTATATTTAAGCCATCTGGATTTCATCTTTTTGTTATCACTTTGGGATCAAATTTTATATTCTTCCGTATTGGTCTCAGGTTTCCTTATAGCACCTAATCATGGCTCAATGAATTATACCCATTGAAATTTTCCTTAATAGATTTTTTTTGGTGGCATTTATCTCAGGGCAAAGATCCAAGAAGGCTGTTAATCTGCCTTTCTCTAGAGCTTTCCTATCTGGCTTCTCTGTCAGTGATCCTGTCTCCTCCTGTTTTGTCCTTCAACTCTCAGTGTTCTCTAAGTCAGTTTCCATATTTGCTTTCATTAATCTCTTTCCTCTAGAGCAGGGGTCTGCAAACTTTTTCTGTAAAGGGCCAGAGAGTAAATAGACTTTGCAACTACCCAGCTGGGCCATTGTAGCATGAAAGCAGCCATAGACAATAACTTAGGAATTCGTGTGGCATCATTCCAATAAAACTTGGTTTCTGGACAGTAAAATTTGGATCTCACTTGATTTTTCACATCACAAATTATATTCTTATTTTGATTTTTTTTTCCTGGCGTTTATAAAATTGAAAAACCACTCGGCTCACAAGCAATATAAAAACAGATAGCATACCTGATTTGGTGCACAGGTCATATTTTGCTGACCTCTCCTCTAGGGCATAGGGCTTCTTCTCTCCTATCCTGTATCTTCCCTGTAAAAAGGAACCACAGGTCTCAGGCACACAACTCCAAGCAGTTTTCTTCTTTCAACCAATATTAGTATTTTCATAAACATATTACAAATAATACATTTCAGTAACTCAGCCTCCATCCCCAAATTGTGGGAATTACAGCTTTTACATGACTTTTGAATTTTATTTTCTGTGAGTGTTAAACTGTTCCCTTGTTTAATTTATTGTAATTTTTTTTTTTTTTTTAAGATGGAGTCTCGCTGTGTCACCCAGGCAGGCTGGAGTGCAGTGGCGCAATCTCAGCTCACTGCAACCTCCACCTCCAAGGTTTGAGTGATTCTCCTGCCGCAGCCTCCCAAGTAGCAGGGATTACAGACACCACCATGCCTAGCTAATTTTTGTATTTTTAGTAGAGATAGGGTTTCACTACATTGATCAGCCTGGTCTCAAATTCCTGACCTCAGGTGATCCACCTGCCTCGGCCTCCCAAAGTGTGGGGATTACAGCTGTGAGCCACGGCGCCCAGCCTATAGTAAGTGTTTTATGAACATGTTTTCTCTGGGAGAGGATATTTTTTCTACTATAAGTAATCTTTAAAACAGTTGAATTTTTTTCATAGCCTTGTACACTACTATTGCAAGATCATTTTGATTTAAAACATATTTTTCTAGGAACATCAGTGCTTTCATTGCACAAAACGTTTTATTTTGGCACAACAGCCTTTTTAAATAAAATACTTTATGTGCATTCAAATATTTGAAAATGTTTGCCTCTCATTAGATATATCTCTACCACAGGAAAATCTGAAGTTTAGTGATGCAGGTCAGAGCTTACTTAATAGTCTTCTGGGCCGTTACCTTATAATCTATAATAAAAAATAACACATACATGCATTTGTTCAGTCTCCTATAGGCCATAAATTACTTCCATAAATATTTCTTTGAAATTTACTTTAAAATAAATAAATAAATGAAACAACATTAAAACCAGAAAATGTTAAGATATTGATTGATTCTCCCTTCCTTACCATTCCCCCAACTTTACTTTTTGGGGATGAAGGAAAGTAACAACCTTGGTGTTTGTTTAAACTAAATACCAAATGGTCTTTAGATAAATGGCTTAGCAGTGAAAAATATGTTATTTATCAACTGTCAGGGGTACGTGGGGATTCCTTAACGTGCCAGAAGAGGGAAGGGAACCAGCATTTATTGAGCTCCTACTTTGCATCAGTTTAATTCCTACAACCCTGCAAGTTAGCCGTTATCATCCCTGTGTTCAGCTTTGCATCCTAAGCCTGGAAGGTTTTAGTAACTTCCCCAAGGTAGCCCAGCTTGTTGAAGGTACAGCCCAGATTGGAAGCTGAGAGTCTGTGTCCACATATACTTCTCCACTTCAAAGATTGAGCTTGGAAAAAATAAGCTTTTTGACATGGTCAGTAATATACAAATATTTATACATGATTAGTGCACTCTTCTCTAGGCATATAGACATACTTTGAAACAGCTGAAAACTTTATTTAGAACAATCCTATTAATTAAGCATTTATTGACTCTTTCCAGAGTAGACATGACTTTCTGTTTTGTCATTACATTTCCCTTAGCAAAACAAACAAATTCACTCACAAAATTGTCATTTTGACAATATCATTTGTGTTAGGATTCCTTTGTGTTAGGACTCCAATATTATATGTGTTAGAATTCCAAATGTTTTCCTCACATTTGTCCTATTAGTTCTAGATATTAGTCTTTAATTTTTGTTGGGGCAGATTGCTCAGAGTCCACTGTGTTACAAGTATCAGATAGTGCCAGGATTCTAAATTTTAAAATGTTAACTCCATGAAAATATTTTGCTTAAGCCATCTTCTTTTCCTCAGCTTCCTCTATACCTCCTATAATATTCTTTTATCCTTCCTCTTGAATTTTAAACTCAAATTTTGAGTTTGGCACACTCTTTGAATTTTAAACTCAAAGTGAGTCAGGTGATGACGGAGCATTCCCTAAGCATTTGCTTTAATGATATTGTTGTTATTATTATTATTATTTTGAGACAGGATTTCTCTGTGTCACCCAGGCTGGAGTGCAGTGGCATGATCACGGGTCATTGCAGCCTTGACTTCCTGGGTTCCAGCAATCCTCCCACCTTGGCCTCCCGAGTAGCTGGGACCACAGGTGTGTGCCACCACACCTGGCTAATTTTTGTATGTTTTTGTACAGATGGGGTTTTGCCCTGTTGCCCAGGTTGATCTCAAACTCCTGAGCTCAAGTAGTCCACCCACCTTGGCTTCCCAAAGTGCTGGGATTACAGGCGTGAGCCACTGTGTCTGGCCCTCTAATGATATTAAAATAGGTGTTAACTTTTAGATATTTTTGTTTTCTTAGGCATGTTCTTTTAAAAGAAACTTCCATGTTATCTAGTAGAAATAGTGAATCAGGCTCCTTTTTAGCCGCAAAATTGGTATCTAAGACTTTACCATTAGTGGGGTATTACAGCCATTTAGCACACTTTTTTTTCTTCAATATATTTTTGTTGTAAATTCTCAAGTTATAATGTTATAAGAAAAGAGCAGCTAAAATAATGGGGGAGTAGATGCAGTATCATTGAAAAACAAACTAAAAATATAAATGCTATAGTCTAAAAATTAAAAGCCTAAAAGGGACTGAAAATGCAATATCTGAAATTATTAATCACTTTGACAGGTTTGTGATCTTCACTTAAATCTGGGGTTCTAAGAATATGCTATTGCTTTGAATTGTGGGAGAAGTAAATTAACTACAAATAAACTTCAGTAAAGAGATGTTTTTGTTAGAAATAGACTTGGCTGTCAGGCATGGTGGCTCGTACTTGTAATCCCAGCACTTTTGGGAGGTTGAGGTGGGAAGATTGCTTGAGTGCAGGAGTTCAAGACCAGGCTGGGCAACATAATGAGACTCCATCTCTACAAAAAATAAAACATTCACTGGCACGGTGGTATGCACTTATAGTCCCAGATACTGAGGAGGCTGAGGTGGGAGGATCACTGGAGCCCAGGAGGTCAAGACTGCCTTAAGCCATGATCACGCTGCTGCACTCCAGCCTGGGCAACAGAGTGAGACCCTGTCTCAAAATAACAACAACATTAAAAAAGAAGTAGATTTGGCTGTGAGTAACAAAGAACTGAAAATAACAGCAGTTTAAACAAGTTTAGAGTCGAGTGTATTTTATGTTTAGGAAAAGAGACTAGAGGTAGCCAGCTCAAGAGTAGTTTGGTGGTTCCGCAATTATTAAGGCCCCGAATCTCTCTTGTTTGCATTTCTGTCATCCTTAGTATGGGACCCTATGGCCCAAGATAACTTATTAGGCTCCAGCCATCCTTGCAGTCAGGAGAAGGAAGATACTTCCTACAAGTAATACATGGTACTTCCACCTAAATATCACTGGTCAGAACTTATGGCAGGGTGCGGTGGTTCACACCTGGAATCCCAGCACTTTTGGAGGCTGAAGCAGGAAGATTGCTTGAGGCCAGGATTTCAAGACCAGCCTGGGTAACATACTGAAACCCCACCACTTCAAAATAAAAAATAAAAAGAAAATTAGCCAGGTGTGGTGGCATATACCTGTATTCCTAGCAACTCAAAAGTCTGTGGTGAGAGGATTGCTCAAGCCTAGGAGTTAAAGGTTGCAGTAAGCTATGGTCATGCCACACCACTCCAGCCTGGGTGACAGAGTGAGACTATGACTCAAACATAACAAAAAGAAAAACAAAACTTAGGCGTCTAAAATAGGAGCACAATTTTATTTGGGGATGATGAAAAAGTTCTGGAGATGGATGGTAGTGATATTGTACAATAATGTGAAGGTGCTTAATGCACTATAAACCAAAAATGTTTTAAATGGTAAACTTTATGTTATGTTTATTTTACCACAAACAAACAAACTTAGTCATCAAGAAGGAGGGGAGGCCAAAATGTGATTTTAATTTTGGATAGCCATTGTCCTCCTAAAAATCTGAAGTTCCATTACTAATGAAGAAAAGGAGGTTAAATATTGGGCAGTACCTAACTTTGAAACATGGGTAATGGCTGAAAATATAAAGGACAACAAACAAATATACAAAAAAGAAATACAGAAAGTCATGCATGACCTGTGAAGTGAATTAATAAGTGGGGATTAATAATAATGCTTTTACTAGGGACAAAAAAAAAATAAAAGACCAATCTTTGGTATCTAATCCAGAATCCTTACATTCTTTTATTTGTTCAGTGGCATTGCCAAAGCATGGCATCAGGCATATTTTGGGGAAGGGTCTGGCCCAGTTATGTTGGATGAAGTACGCTGCACTGGGAATGAGCTTTCAATTGAGCAGTGTCCAAAGAGCTCCTGGGGAGAGCATAACTGTGGCCATAAAGAAGATGCTGGAGTGTCCTGTACCCCTCTAACAGGTAAGGATTTCACTCCATTAGTGTACCAGTTCTTGCCCCCAGTACCATGTCGGCCTGCCACAGCTTCCCTTCTCCTTAATTTCAACATTACCAAATGAGCATACAAATAAATACACCAAATAAAACAAACAAAAAGAATGCAAACCGTATATTAAAGTACCATCTTTTTATTCATAGTTATTCCTGAATTTTTCAATTTAAGGCTATATAGTCTTGTAAAGCTAGATCAGAAAATAGGACTTTGTTGCAGTATATAGTACCCAATAGTCAAAATCAGTGTGCAGTGATACATTCCAGATATTAGGTGTAATAATTCCATCTTTAGTCCATTCATCTATTAACGTTTCTTGACTCAGAATGTGTTTAGAGCTGGTATTGATGCAATTGTTGATTAAAGCACACTGTGAAAGAAACCAAGTTAACTTTGCTATGCACAATTTTCAGACTATTCCAAATGACAGCATGCCTGTCAAAATGTGTCATGTGTTGTAAGAAGGGCATATGTGAGTACAAACTGGTGTGCGTGTATGTACTTACATGTTTAGGGAGAAGAAGAAGGAAATGGAAAAGGCAAGAGAAACTGACTCATCAGAAACCATTTAGTAAAAAGAACTTGAAGAAAAAAATGTTTTGTTTACATATTTCTTTAGTGAAAATCAATAACTTGTTAGAATCTATGAAATACCAGATTTATATCATTCTCTTCACATACTTCTATACATGCAGTTGTTTTTATTAGCAGATTAACACATTAATACACCATAGAAATGTATTTACGCCAGATTTTTAGCCAGAGCACTTCATTTTCTTGAACTGCCATTTTCCCCTCCTTCAAATGAGGATAGTCTTGTAACATTGCTGTGATGCTCAGATGAGATAATGCATGTCATAATGCTTTGCAGACAGTAAAATATTATATTAATAAAAGGTTTGTTGCTCAGAGACCTTTACTTTAAAAGATCCCTGAGATTTATGAAAAGTATGACCCTTACCCAAGATTATTTATATGTTTCATTGAGAGTTTTTGGATTATTTTGGTTGGAAATGGCTTTTAAATCTACTTTTTTTGGAATTAAATTTATTATACTGTTTATCTGCTTAGAAGCTCTTTATAGAATTATAGGCAAATTAATTATTATTTGAGTTAATAAGATTCAAATTCAGATCTGTATTATCAATAAAAGAACAAAGGCGAGACATATCTTCCAGTTTTTATAATTCATGAATGCCTAACAAATAATATATGCATTGACATGACAGACTGTCTTTTATCCAGAATAGTTTTTTTCTGTCATCCTATTTCAGTATTTTTTTCATTTGCAGTTAAAATTCTGAGCTATTTCCAAGTTACTGTATTTTCTTTTTAAATTTAAATGACATGTATTGCTCTGACTTGAGACTAAAGTTATATGAAATTTCCCAAATGTTGTTTAATCTAGAGAAGTCTAAATAGATACTTTGGAATTATATCAGGATATATTTTTCTACATAGAGAATAGGGGTACCAATAAAAAGGAAAGATATATATATATATATATATTTTTTTTTTTTTCCGTGAGACGGAGTCTCGCTTTGTTGCCCAGACTGGAGGGCAGTGGTGCGATTTCAGCTCACTGTAACCTCTGCCTCCTGGGCTGAAGCGATTTTCCCGCCTCAGCCTCCCAAGTAGCTGGGATTACAGGCATGCGCCACCATGCTCAGCTAATTTTTGTATTTTTAGTAGAGACAGGGTTTCACCATGTTGGCCAGGCTGATCTCGAACTCCTGACCTCAGGTGATCCACCTGCCTCAGCCTCCCGAAATGCTGGGATTACAGGAGTGAGCCACCACACCCAGCTGGAAAGAATATTTTATTAGGACAGAAATGTGTTACGTCAAACTTCAGAAACAACATGATAACCTCAGAGGGTCATTTAGCACAGATGTAATGTAAGTTTAGCAAAAGGCCTAGAGTGAGGCCTGAATATGGTGATATTTCTTGTGAAATACAAATGTTGTTTTGCCTTTTTTTGAAAGTTGATTTGCTTAGTCTCTGTGTCTCCTCTTTATCACAGATGGGGTCATCAGACTTGCAGGTGGGAAAGGCAGCCATGAGGGTCGCTTGGAGGTATATTACAGAGGCCAGTGGGGAACTGTCTGTGATGATGGCTGGACTGAGCTGAATACATACGTGGTTTGTCGACAATTGGGATTTAAGTAAGGTTCATTAATTATAAAGGCAGTTAAATGCCAGATTATATTGTTAAAAGTCTTATTATGTTAATCCCTACTTGTAATTTTTATAATAATAAAAATACCTGTTCTCTCCTACCTGTGTATGGAAGTACAACAATGAAAAATAATGACATTTTCTAAGATGATGAATAACCACCTCTTGCTGTTTATTTCATTTACCTTTCCTGCCATGACCCCTCTTCTTGAATAATTAGTTGAAGCCAGGGGTGACCTCTAAGTCCCCTTGTGTCTATTCAAGTAAGACTTTGAATGCTCATTTTTATTCTGACACGTCATTACTATTGGATGTTTTTAGTTTTGACATCATTGTCTAAAATTGCAGAGAAGTCTAGTGTCAAATGCTTTGGTATTACATTATTCCCTTTCTCAGAATGTGATGATAATTATCACTTTTATTTGAGAAAAACAGCCCTCTTGTTAGGAGATGACCTTTAGAACTTGCTTTTGACCTCACTCTCTTAAAAGCTGAGTATCACACTTTGGGACATGTATTTTATGTCACACACATAATGCATTCCAGAGTAAAGACTTAAGTTGGTCGAAGTAACTGCAAATGATGCTTTTGAGTTAAATATTTGAATGAAAGCTATGAATGCCTATTCTTTCTTGTTTTCCATATTTCTCTGTCATGCTTGAAGTAATTGTCTTATGCTTAAAAAAACTGGCAAAATTGTTTCATTTTAGCTTGATTAGAGCTGACTGAAGATATTCACTACACTTTAAAAACATAGCTTCATTCAAGCTAGGCAAAGCCATGTTAAACATATATTTTAAAATTTATAAAAGTAATGTAAAACCATTGGAAAATGATGAAAATAAAAA